>NC_000012.12:112914673-113066188 GCF_000001405.40 Homo sapiens | reverse complement strand
CCAACAGCATTCCCCGAGGTAGCTGTTTCCAGGTTCCAGGCCCCATGTCCTCAGTTGATGTCAGCCAGAGGCAGCTAGGGGCTGCTGGGGGTGTCTGTGTCAACCCAGAGGCTGGGTGGGCTCATGGGGGTGACTATCTAAGGGACTGGAGCTGTCCTGGGGACTGGCTACCACCGGTTGTGATTCCAGAGCCAGGTGGAAGGATGGAGGCCCAGGGAGAGACAGAGGTGGCGGGCGGAGGCCTGGGAGCACCCCAGGCACCCCCATGCACCAAGAACATCACACTGGAGAGAGAGTTAGGGACCTCAACCCCATTGCCTACTGCCTGAATGGGCACTTGGAGCCACTGTGACCAGTCCTGCCCCAACCCCTTGGCCTCCCCGTGGCCTCCCCGTCCTGGCCCCTCCTCGTCACCCTCTCATCACACCCTCCATCATCTCCCCTCCCAACCCCTCACGCTTCACTCCTTACCACCTTCTTCACCATCCCCTCCACAGCCCCGCTACCTGTCACTTCCGCATCACCTCCCCTACTCCAGCCCCCACGCTTCCCATCACAGCTTCCATCTCCTCCTTCCTCTCCAGGTCAGACTCCGCAGCTCCTTTGGAAGAATGAGGCGGGGGATGGGAGGAAGCTGGAGAGGAGGAGGGAGGGAAGAAGGAGGAGAAAGGGGTGAGGGGAGGAGAAGGAGAGGGAGAGGGCTGCGAGGGGGTCTGTCCCGGGCATCCCCACCCCCAGCCCGGAAGGCGCGGGCGGGTCGTTGATGGTGCTGTCCAAGGTACTCGGTGGCCCGGGCGAGCCTGGGAAGGGCCGTGCGCACCCAGCTGCAGACCTGGATCTGATCTCAGACCCGTCTCTTCTCAGCGTCGGCAGGCGGCTCCCCACCCTCTGAGCTTCAGCTTTACTATGTGTAAAATGGGGTGACACCCGCTGGCTGGGTGAAGGGAACCCAGACAGACTGTAGGAAGTGCCTGAGGCTGCCCCTGCCCCACCTGCTCCAGCTCCAAGGGCCCGTGATTAATGAGGCTGGTCCTGCAGCGTGGCTGTGAGTCCCCCGGGGCCTGGCTGCTAAAGGGCAGCAGCTGGCAGCCCAGCCTGCCAGGCCCCAGTGGGCCCCACGAGGCCTCCTCTACCCATCCCCTATCTCCCATCACAGCCTCCCTCTGCCACCCAGGCCTGAGACCCTCCTCCAGGACCCTGCTGAAGGACCCCTGCTGTTTCCTCCACCTGTAAGTGTTCCTCCTATCATTCTATTTACCCAAATCACACACTCTCAAAGGACTCCTCCTCCAGGAAGTCCTCCTCTCAGAGGCTCCAGGCATACACCATGCACATCCCATGGCTGAAGGCACCGTGCATCTGCCTAGTGAGGCATTTAAATCTTTTTCTTCCTCGAGCATGAGTGCTTACTACGTGCAAAGTAGTATCCTCCAAGCTTTTATCTACATATCTCATTTATGTATCTCATTATGTCCTCATGACAACCCTCCCAGCTAGGGACTATTCTTATCCCCATTTTACAGAGGAGGAAATAAACTCAGAGACGTTAAGGAATTTGCCCATGGTCACACAGCCAGCAAGGGGCCAAGCTGGGTTTTAGGTCTGTATCTGTTGTCCTTATGAGTCAGAGGGTTCAAAGGCTATTTCCATGATATGCATTTGCCTTCACCTTCACTAGACTCTGAAACTGATCTGAAATGGATAGATTAGACTCTGAAATGGATTTTGCCCTTCTCTCTGAGTCCCCAAGACCCAGCCCAGGACCTGGTACTGAGAAGCCACCAATGACTACCAAATACGAGCGATGAATTTAGTTTCAAAACAGGCTTCTGGAGTTAGCCAAGCAGCCAGAGACCATGGGTCTGCAATAGTAGAAATACAGACAGCGTGACTGGTGGTTGGGGAGCACCCACATATGGATTAGCTGGACCTGCTGCTACCAGAGATGGGCCGCTCCCTGCCCCTACACATAGTCTTTCTTGCCCCTGGCATCAGGCCCAGCCCTAGTCTCCAGTGAGGAGGCTGGAGAGAGGGTCCCAAAGGGTCCTGTAACCAGGAGCTGAGCCCTGGAGGCCTCCAGGGTAGTGCAGGCTGTCCCTGCCTTGGGCTAGACCCTGACAACAAGCCCCAAGAGCGCTCTCAAGGGAGAAGGGGGAAGGGGGAAGGGGTTCTCTCAGCCCTGGCATTAAATGTCACCTTGTTTTCTATCCCTAAGGCCTGTCTGGGGGGCCTGGGCTCTAGCTTAGGACTGGTAGGCTGTGTGACCTTGGGGAAGTCACTCACCCTCTCTGGGCCTCACTGTCCCCAGTTGGTGTCTAATTCTGGAGGTGTTTTCCCCGGTGATGGGAAAAGCTCCTCCCATCTGGGTGGTAACAGCCTAAGGGTCTCCAGCCTAAGTGTCCTCAGATAGTGCTTCCTCTCATGGCAGGGACCAGGGCTGAGTGAAGCCCAAGGTTTCCAGGGAAGGAGGCAGGCTGGAAGATCCCAGAACCAGCCACCACCTGCCACTCCAGCCTGTTGGCCAGCTTGGGGGCACCAGAAAAGGCCAGGCTTGCAGCCTCGGGTATGGCATCTTTGGATGGTCCCCAGCTGGCATCCCTCGGCCTCAGCTATCCCATCAGCAGAAGGGGCAGGAGGCTGCCATGCACCCCTCCAGCAGCACATGGAGAGCGACATGGGAGATACCAGGCAGATAGGTGCCCCTCCCCAGCTCCAGTCATATGAGGCCAGGGAGCGAGCTGGGAGCTTCTGCGGAAGTGGCTGAGTTACACCTCTGTCCAGCTGTGTGAACTGGGTGGGAAATTCAGGGTCTGGGTGAGGCCCTCGGAGGCGGCTGTCCCAGTGGCAGGGGATGTAAATGACCCCCCAGGGAAGATGTGGCTTCTTCTCTGGGAGCAGAAAGCCATTCTCAAACCTTTCCCCGACTGCCAGTGGCAGCCAACCCCCTCACCCCAAGACCCTGATGGCTCCTGGGCCCAGCCCAGCCACCAGCTGAGCATACCCTTCGGCCTTGGGCTTCCCATATGTGGCAATCTTTGTCTGTGGGAGGGACGGTTGGAGACAGAGGGAAATGAAGAAAGAAAGCTTTGAGGGAAACCGGGCACTTGGCTCAGTACTGCGAAGCGAGCAAGCGACCCATCCCTCGCCCAGCTCTGACTCTCCCTCCAACCCTCTGCCTGGGACACCACCGTGATTGATCTAACATCATCCAGCTCAGGGTCACAGCATTAGGCCTCCCCGTGGAGGGGCTCCAGTTTCCAGTCCAGACTCTGGGCTCTGGACCTGGAGGGCTTCAAAGGGAACCTCACCCCCTGCAGGGAGCAGTGAAAACAGCCCAGCAGGGGAAAGGTGAGGGGGCACGGCTGAACAAACCGCAGCCCCTGTGGGGCCAGAGCCTGGCTTCTCCCCTGTGGCCCCAGCCTGACACCGGGGCTTTCTTCCGCTGGCTGCACTGCACGGGAGGCACATACACAGGGCATGTGTGTGTCGGCATTGTGCGAGCAGACTGGTGCTGTGTGTGTGTACGCACACGCACGTGTACCTTGGTACACACCACAAGGGGTGGATAAGCCATGCTGGGTGTCCTGTGGCACCAGCACGGTCTTACCCCATGCTCAGGTTCAGAACATGTGGGGCAGGGGTCAGTGAACCTGCAGCACACAGGCCAAATCCACCCACCATCTGCTATCGTGCAGCTCAGGAAGTAAGAATGGCTTTTACATTTTTAAATGGTTGGGGGAAAAAAAAGAATATTTCATGACCCGTGAAAAAGATATGAAATTCAAATTTCTGTGTCCACAACTAGTTTGATTAGAACACAGCCACACGCATTCACTTACATATTGTCTATGCTGCTTTTCTGCTCCGATAGAGTTGAATAGTTACAACAGAGACTGCAGGTCCCACAAAGTTAAAAGATTTATTATCTGATGCTATTAGAAAAAAATCAGCCAGCTCCTGCATTGGGAAACTAGCAAAGCTAGGGCAGTCTCCCCTCAAAGTTCAAGTTCAGCTTCAATGAACATATCAAGAATTTTACAATTAGAAAATCTAGACAGAAGCTTGTGTTGATTTCAGCACATACACATGAGTTTTGGGTTTTACAGCATTATGTTGGAGTGTGTGTGTGTGTGTGTGTGTGTGTGTGTGTGTGTGTATGAAATATAATATTTTCAAGATTCACAGCCAGGCACAGTGGCTCACGCTTGTAATCCCAGCACTTTGGGAGGCCGAGGCGGGCGGCTCACTTGAGGCCAGGAGTTCAAGACCAGCTTGGCCAACAGGGTAAAACCCCATCTCTACTAAAAATACAAAAATTAGCCGGGTGTGGTATGTGGTAGCTTGCCTGTAATGCCAGCTACTTGGGAGGTTGAGGCACGAGAATCACTTGAACCCGGGGAAAGAGGCTGCAGTGAGCCGACATCACACCACTGTACTCTAGCCTGGGAGACAGAGTGAGACACTGTCTCAAAAAAAGAAGAAAAAAAAAAGATTTAAGATCTTTTGCTTGTCTCTCTTGTACCCACAGTGGTGAGCACGTGCTAGATGCACAGTAGATAATTAGTTGATGTTTGTGGGATAAAATCAGCCAGATTCTCTCTGTTCAACCCGACAACCCTGCTGGAGAGGTGATCCTCTCACCCATTTCACGGATGTGGAAACTGAGACCTGGAGAGGCCTGAGGTCACACCGTTGGCACTCAGGTCTGCTCCCTGCCGGTTGAGGCTCTTTTCCAGTGCGTTACCAATGAGGACAAGACGTCCTTTCTTGACATTGTTTTGCTCCTGGGTAAAGCGAGGGAAAAACCCTCACATATCTGGTGAGGAGGCCTCTTGCCCCACTCTCCAGCAGGTTCCCAGGCAGCTGAGGTCTCCTGCCAATCGCAATAGGTTTCCAGGCCTTCCTCCCTCTCTGGTTGGGGTGGGAGGGGGTTCCTGGCAGGCTCCCAGGAGTCCATTTAGGAATGAGTGTTTTTTTTCCCTTTTCCGGCAAACAGGGGGCAGGTGTGGAGTGAACAGCTCTGGAGAGAGGGAGAGGGGAAGTGACCAGAGCTGAACTTCTGGGGGATCCAGTGAGGCTGAACCATAAAAGGGGTACTATTGAGAGAATGGGGCCTGATGAAAGGGGAGTGTGCAAGTCTGGGGACTCGGGAACATAAGGGGATGCTGGGAATAGAAATGGGGGTCCCCCCAAAGATAAGAGGATCAAAGGTAAAGTTGCCAACTTGGCAGCCTTGTGGGGAGTCTGTCCCTGCTTCTAAGGACCCTGCCGCCCATACCCAACCCAGCTAGGTCCCGGAAGATCTCTACACCCAGCATTAGCTCTGAACCTGCAGAACACCAGACCTCCTAGCAAGGAGTGACACCTACCCACTTCTGCTCTCACAGCCCTGCCCTCTACCCCTAGGAGAAAACAGAATGGGGCGGGTAATGTGCAACACTTCCCCTTCTTCCATCAGGTCCTTGGTGCCTCTCTGGAAGAATGGGCACATGGAGCTAATGATGACTTCTACTCTCTGGATCAAATTCAAAGTTCTTTGCGTGGCTGTCCAGGCCTGTACATCCGGTCCTTGCTCAGCTGCCATCTTGCACCATCTTCCCCTTGGTGGGAGATGCATCCCAAACAGAACGGACTTAAATGTCCTCTGCCCCTTCCTACCCCAGGGCCTTTGCACTGGCTGTGCCCTCTGCCTGGGACACTGGCACCCTCACTCATTCTTCAGATCTCTGTTCAAACATCACTTTCTCAGGCTAGCCTTCCCTGAGTACCTCTGGGCCAGGTTTAGTTCATGCTCTCGGATCTGCCACTGATTGTCTCTGTGGTGATATGTTTGCTTGCTCCCTGACCACACCAGGACCTTCAGTGTAGGTCCTCCAGCACAAGACCTCGACTGATGACTTTGTCTTGCTCCCTGCTGTACTCCAGTGCTTAGCACAGAAATTGACACACAGCAGAGATCAATAAATAATCATATGATGGAATGCATGAACAATTGGCACCATCAGTGATGGTGGTCAATGCCTGGAGTTACGGAAACATAGATGTACTAATCTGTACCATCAATAAGCCATTTGTTATGAATTCGCCTGTGTTTCCAGACATGGTAAGCACTCTGTGGGTACCTAGCAATGTTCCGGACTATTGGAAAGTTCAATCATTGCAGAAACTTATATTGGACTGTGCTAGTTAGAAAGGCTGGCCTCCTTTCTAACTAGCATGGTGTAATAGAACTTTCTGCAACAATGCAATGTTCTGGATCTACACTGGCCCACAAGGTACCACAAGACACATGTGGCTATGAGCACTTGAAGTGTGGCTAGTGAGACTGAAGAACTGGATTTTACATTTTACTTAGTTTTAATTAATGTAAATTTAAGTAGCCACATGTGGTTGGTGGCTAACATATTGGTTGGCACAGCTCTAGAGGGAAAGCGAGCATCCTACCAGCCTGGGGTTATTACGTGTGGTTCTGTCATCCAGGGATTCATAGGAACTTCCCCAAACCCCATCAGCTGGTCCTTGGGGGGTCAAACATGCCAAGGATTTCTAGGCTGCTTCTGCACGGCAGGACCCCACCAGTCCCCACTGCCCATGGAGCTTGTCACAGATACCACCGGGCAATGACTCAGGGAGATCTCCCCAACGATGACAAATCTCCAGAACAAAAGAGAGTAGGCCTGAGAGTGGGACCTCATCGATTTTATCTCCATCATCAGCCATCACATTACCACCAACGCAACCATCAACATCACCATCATTACAACCACAACAGGATCACCAATACCACTAAGTAACAGCCACACACAGGGCTACCAGCCACACCACATGGCCACGAAGACTGCCACCAACATCATTCTCTCATTTTCTCCATCATCACCACCCCATCACACCACTTCCAGCACCACCACCAACACAACTATCAATGTCACCAACACCACTGAATCCCATGGTTAACGCTATCACTGACATCACCACCAACACTGCCACGTCACCATCATCCATCCCTCCATTGTCACCAAGACCCCACCACCATCAATACTATCACTGAGTCACCACCAACACAACCGCTAACACTGTCTCCTCCATCATTGCCACCTCACCCCACCATCAACACCACCAACGCCCCCCATCCCCAATTAATTACCACCAGCACGACTCCACCCCACAAACCAACACTTGGAGCCAGTATAGGATACCAGTTAAGAACTTTGGTTCTGGAACTCAACCGCCTGGGTTTAAATCCCAGCTCTGAGTTTAAATCACTCAGCTTCTGGGAGACTCGGTTTCTTCATCTATAAAATGGGACTCATAATAATACAACAATACACAGACTTACTGCCTGTGATTCTTGGGAAAAATCAAATGAGGAAGTGCATGTAAAGCCCTTATTCTACAATCCCATGCTACTGCTGTTCTAGGTTCTGTGCTCAGTGAGCACAATTTTATTTAATCCTCACTCAGCTGTGAGAGATATTGATCTACCCATTTTGCAGATGAGGAAACTGAGGCTCAGAGAGATGATGCAACTTGCTCAAGGCCCTACAGCTTGCTCAGAGGCTGCATTGGAATCCAAGTCTTAAACTGGACAAGGTTAGACTGCCCTGTTTTTCTGGAGGTGAGGCAGGGAGATGGGGAAGGGATTTGGCATCAGCAGATTTACTGGGATTTTCAGCATCCTACGCTGCAAGGTAGTGATGGCTCGGCGGGGCGGGTGGCATGGGGTGGGTGTCTGCTCACCTGTGTCCTGGCGAAACTGGTGCATGGACTGCAGGTCGATGATGTAGGGCACAAGCTGGGCGTCCACCTGCCCCAGGACCACGGAACCGCGAGCGTCCTCCTTCAGCACGTTCTCAATGTGGTGGCACACGGTGGCCGTGTAGGGCCGCCAGCGGCTGTGCTCATTCAGCCACTCCCACACCACCACCCGGGCCACGTTCTGCGGTGGGAAGCCCAGACCATTCACAGGCATCAGCCCACCGTGGCCTGGCCGTGACATGGCCGCCACTGCCTCAGGGGCCAGGTCCCCCACTATTGCAGGCCCAGCTCCTCCTGGGCCTGGCAGCAGGCGGCAACTTCCTCTCTCCCCAGGGGGACAGCAAGGACCGTCTGGCCTCCTTTCTAACTCTGGGTTCTCTCTGAGGCCTAGAGACCTCCGTTAAAGGAATGTGGGATGGCCATCCAGGCTGCAAAGACCCCTTCCCTGTAGAGCCTTCTCCGATAAAGGGTGCTGCCCTGGAAAGCAAGTGTCTCTCTTATGCCGGAGGAAACAGCTCTAAAGTCCTTGGCCCCCTCGGCTGGCTCAGGTAGGGAGTGAGGCAGCCGCCCCTGTTCGAGGTCCAGCCTCTTCCGTGTTGTCTCTTGGTCCCTCTTCCCCGCCAGACAGGGCCTGTCACCCAGGAGGCCTGGGCCACAGCCTGCTGCTCCTGCGGCTCTCAGCCAGCCCTTTGCACTCCCAACTGCGTCCCAGACCCTGCGCCCGGCTTCAGTGGGGCTTCTCGCCTCCCTCCGGTCTGGGCCCCCTTCTCCGACGGCTCCTGCCGAAGGGGGCGTCCCTGCCCCCTTGTTCCCTCTCCACGGTGTCCTGGAAGGCCTGGGTGGCCGCAGAACGCACGGGGGAGGGGTGCGGCGTGGACCCTCGGGCGGCGCGCCTGGACTGCGGCTCCGGAGCTGGGCTGGGGGACGAGGGGGACGAGGGGGGCGGGGGCCCGTGGGCACGCCCCACCCCACTCGTGCTCGCGACCTGCCAGGAGACAAGAGGGGAGAGGGCCCTTTAAGAGGAGAGCGCAGCACCCCCTCCCCCCTTCCCAGGAGAGCATTCGGCTGAGAACAATGGGGAACCGAAGGGGGACAGCAAGGGGGGCGTACGGGGTCGCCCCGCCCGCTTTCCCTTGGGGCAGGCCTGGAGGGAAGGCAGGGGCCGGGGGCGCGGTTTTCCGAGACTCTCCGCCTGGGGGGCGCCCTCCTTGGCTCCCGGAGCCTTCCCTTCCCCCGGGGCCCTCGCCCTGCCGGGGGGATGCCGGGTGCGCTGGGGTGCGCCGGGAAGCACGGGGATGCGCGGCGCTGCAGGCGCGGCCCAGGGCCCCTCGGGGGTCGCGTCGCGGAGGGGGCGAAGCCAGGAGCTGGATCGTCTCTGCCTCCCGCCCTGGGGGTAACAGCCCCGCTTCCCCAGCCCAGACGTCCCCGAGCCGCTCGCGGGCCCCCAGCGGGAGCCGGGGGTGGGGTCCCTAAGCACCCGCGTTCTCACCGCCTCTCTTCGTCTCCGGCTCCGGCTCCGGCTCGCGCTCCAGCACCGCCGCCTCCTGGGCTCCCCCCGGAGTGGGAGGGAGCCGCGGTCCCGCCTCCGCGCCCGTTCCCTCCCAGGCCCCTCGGCCGCCGCGCCGAGCTTTCCGCGCGTGGACAGACTGCCCGGCCGACGGACGGACGCAGGAGCCGGCTGGCGGCCGCCGGGATCTCGCGGGTGGGAGGAGGCCTCGGCCGTGCTCCGGGAGGGAGAGGGGAGGGGGCGGAGGAGGAGGAAGGGGAGGAGACAGATCTCGGCCCTGAGCGCCACCGGCGCTGACACGCGAGTCTCGGGGCGCCCCAAATCCTCGGCCAGGCCCTCCCGAGACCCCAAGGGGCCTTCTGACCCCAAGCAGAGCGTGAGGCAGGGAGTGGGATGTTTAGGAGTCACCGGCTTGAATCTTTGTCATCTTTATTTCCAGTCTCCCAGTCCAGGGCCTGGCACTGAATAGGTGCTCAATAAATGCTTGAATGAATGAATAAGATCCAGAGACTGTCTAAAGAAAGATCTTGAAGCATTCAGAGCTAGCCTCCTTTCCTCCTCTAACTATTCCTGGGGGTGGGAGGGTGCTGACAAGGCCTGATTCAGACTCAGTTGGAACCGTGGAATCTGAAGAGTACAGATGAGGAGACTGAAGCCAGAGAGAGTAAGAGCCAGGCCCAGGATCACAAAAGCTTAGAGCGATGCCCAGACACCAACCCCGATCTGAATCTCCTGCCAGTACCCAGTTCCCAGCCCTGAGCCCACTTCCCCCAAAGCACCCACCTGCTCCAGGTGAGAGGGGTGGGACCAGGGGAGGGGACCCTGGCCAGGAGGTGAGATCCTGGAGGAAGAGAAGGGCAGGCCCTCTGCCATGTCATTCACAGCCACCTGCAAACAACTGGTGCTCAATAAATGGTGGGTGAGCATTGGTTGGATGGAAGGGAAGGCTGGAAATGGCAGCGGCTCAAGTGTTAACGGGATGGCCAGTCCCCCTGTCCTCCAGCAAGCTGGATGCGGCTGAGACACACATTGGCTGGGAGGGGGGTGGACCACCTGGGGCCTGGGGGTGTTTAGATTGGGGAAGATGAAGGATGCGTCCGGGAACTCCAGCCTGGGTGGCTGACGGGGGTCAGTGGCCTGTTTGGGCGCCTGCCCAGAGCAGCCCACGCCTGCCTCCCCGGGGCAGATGGGGATACACTAGGCAGGGTCAGGGGCAGGCTGCTCAGGGGTGCTTTCCCAGAATCCAGCTCTGGCTCTCCGGCCAGCTGGAGGGACCTCCCCTCCCCAGGCCCCTGCTCTGACCTGCAGCCCAGTGTTGGATGGGCTTTTTCAGATTGGGTCAATGATTCTGCTTGCTTTCACCTGCTGTAGACTAAAGAGAGAGGCTTTGCATAGGGCAGGGCCAAGTCTGACGATACTCCCACAGGATCACTGAGTTCTGGGATTTTAGCCTAGGGTCCCTGGATGGCCTTCTGGGGTCCATGAAGTCCCCCTCTCCCATTACAGGCAAACTTGTGTGTCTAGGCATTGTGTGTCTTGTATGTCTGGGAAGAAGGGCTCTGGCTGTCAGCAGATTCTTCTCACAGGAGACTGTGACTGAACGGATTCAGAGCAGGTGCTCAACCAGCTTATGTTGTAGAAGGATCTGGGGATCCCACAGTGGAGAAGAGATTGGCTCAAGGTCGCATGGTGATTTAGCAGCAAATTGGAAAGAAGAACTCGTGTCTCTGGACTTCCTGTCGAATGCTATTTAAGGTCTGATTAAATGTCACCTCCTCCAGGAAGCCTTTCCTGAATTCACCCCATCTTCCTCTGTGTTCCTTTGCCCATACCTTGACATGACACCCTGTATCACAATTAGCCTCTTAAATGAAATCTGTCCCTGCTAGAGTGAGATAGCCATCATATTCATCTTGGTGTGGTGTGGCTGGTGCCCCATTACATAAGGGTGTCATTTACTGAGTGCCTATTATGTGCCAGGCACTTAAATAATACTTACTACTCTTCATAACTGCCCCACAAGGAAGGTAATGTTGTCCTCATTTTACACAAGGAAACAAAAAACCTCCTGAAGCTCAGAAAGGCTAAGTAGCTTACCCAAGTTCCCACAAGGAGTAAGTGGCAGAGCTAGGGTCTGAGTCCCAAATGCTTTTGCACCTCCCATAGCACCATGCTGCCTCTGTGTTTGTTGAGTGACTACTGGATGGCACCCAGCTGAGGATCTGGTGCAGAGTGGCCCTTAATGGCCCCTCTCAACTGGGTTTGGAACATCTGGGAATGCAACACTCTGCTCCCAGGGAACTTGGGGAGAAAAGAATTCCAAGGAGAGGGAAGGAATTTGGCCACCAAGGAGCCCACAATTCATGGGAGGGATGGCTCAGATACCAATGGGGAAGTCAATAGGACAAAAGCAAAAGCAATCAATCATGAACTGTTTTTTTTTTTTTGGTCCATTGAGGCATTTTATTCATATGAATTTATTACATCCCTAGAAAAACAATCCCAGGATTTTCCCTCCTGTGTATTTTTGTCTTGCTTCCTTGCAATCCCTGATACCAGCTGAGGTTGTCAGGACAATGAAACCAAAGGGGATAGGGGTACCATTTTTCTAGATCTTTGAGTTGCACATCAAACTGGGGCTTGTCACTGTACACTTGTTTAACCTGCCTGTGAGGTCCACAGTGATTTTTCTAGCTCTGTGATTATTGATGATTGCAAATTCACTGATGTAAACTAAACTTCATCATCACACTTAGAAACTAGATGATGATTTTGGAACACAACCTAAAACAACCTGGTATTTGCTTCTCTTCTCAGCATGTTGATGCTATTGAGAACACTGGCCAGGACGTTCACATGCACCATTATAGCAGCTCAGAAAGATGGCAGAAAGAGACCAACTCATTTTTTTTGTTCTGCCATCCACCATCCACTTATCCATCCACCCGTCTATCCATTCATCTATCCACCCATCCTCCATCCATCCATTCCACCCATCCATCCACCCACCCACCCACCCACCCACCCATCCATCCAGTCATTCACCCATCCACCCACTCATCCATCATCCATTCATCCATACACCCACCCACCCATCATCCATCCATCAATCCATCTATCCATTTATTCATCCATTCATCTATACATTCATGTATGAAATTTCCCACCTTCCTTGCTTCCCTTCCTCCATCTCTCCCTTCCTTCCTTCCTTCCTCTTTTTATTTTTATTTTTTTAAGATGGAATCTTGCTCTGTCACCAGGCTGGAGCACAGTGGCGCAATCTCAGCTCACTGAAACCTCTGACTCCCTGGTTCAAGTGATTCTCCTGCCTCAGCCTCCCAAGTAGCTGCAATTAGAGGCACGTGCCACCACGCCCAGCTAATTTTTATATTTTTAGTAGAGATGGGGTTTCACCATGTTGGCCAGGATGGTCTTGATCTCCTGACCTCATGATCCACCTGCCTTGGCCTCCCGAAGTGCTGGGATTACAGGCATGAGTCACCGCACCCGGCCCCTTCCTTCCTCTTATCCACTTATTCATCCATCCATCCATCCATCCATTCATCCAAAAAATACCAGATGCCCTCCTATGTGCCAGGCACTGGGCTACGTGCTGAGATAGAGAGCTGACACCAGCAGCATGGTCCCTGCCCTCCTGGGTCTCAGAGTCTAGTGAGGAAGTCGGACATGAATCAAGAATCACACAAAGTCTAATTCCAAACTTTTGCAAAGACTATGAGGGAAAAGTACAGGATATCGTGAGGACATCTAACAGGGGTCTTATCAGGTCTAAGGAATCAGGGAGGGCTTTTCAGAGGAGTTGATGTTTCAGCCACTCCCTGAAGGATTCATAGGTCTTAATGTGGCTGAGTGGGGTAGGAGGGGGAATGATTAAATCAGAGGAAACAGGGATGTGCAAAGGCCCAGAGGTGGGAAAGCGCTTGGTGTGTTAAAGCAACAGAAAGGAGACCAAGTAACCACTGAGAAAGAAGAGGGGTGAGCCTGGGGCCAGAAGAGGCAGAGCTACCATGCAGGGCCTTATAAGACCCAGTGTGGGTTTGCAATTTTATTCTAAGAGTCATGGGAATTACTAAAAATTTGATGTGATTTGATTTGTGTTGGAAAGAGCCTGGAATTAACTAGACTTTATTGAGTACCTACTGTATGTCCAGCCCTGGTCTAGGTACAGGAGAGTCTGGAAGGGGACACAAAACAAGATGAGTAACACTGAAGACCGTATTAGGGGCATGTGCATTAGGGTATGAGCCCTGGGAGACACATGCCACCCCTGTCCCCAGCCTGTGGAGCCGAGTGAGTTAGGCTTTTTTGAGCCCTTCTCTCCAGCCCTCTACATTCTTCTGTGCAGACCAGCTGTGACCTCCCCTTCAGCAGTTGAGAAAAAGTTTAAGTGGAAAACAGGAAACAGAGTGAGAAGGACTGTTTGGGTGTCTCTGGGGACTGAAATGGGGCCCCTGGAAGTCAGAGTGTTCCTTGGGCCTGTAGGACACTGGTGGGGTGCGAGTGGTGAAAGGTCTTTTGCTGCCTGCTGAGAATGGGCAGTAGAATTGGAGAAGCCTCAGAAGGGTGACATCCACAGCCGGCTTTGCTTAGCGAGGAGGGTCTGCAGGCCCAAGGTTAAGGTGGGCACTGCTCTCGTGGCCATGTGTGCAGGTCATGGTTCCTGGGAGCAGTGTCTCCCCATCACCAGGCAGAGGCTGGTTCCAGGTGAGCACAGATTCATCCCAGGGTCTTGCTCTGAAATTCACATACAGCCGGAGTTGAAAGCAGCTTGAGCATCTATGGGCGAGATGGTGAGATGAACGCCCTCCCCACCCCAGAGCACTGGGTCCCACCCTGGATTCATGTGAGAATCTCCTGCAGAGTGCATACAAATTACCCATGTCCAAGCCCCACCCTCAGAAACTGATGTAGTTGGCTGGGGGGTCCAGGTATTTGTAGGCTTTGGCCAATGGTTCTTTCCCTGGATTTAAGGGATTAAAACTGAGAGATGGTTGTCAACCTGTCTCTAGGTAGTTGGGCTAATCATATGTGATATTGCGAGCTTTTAGGGCCCATTTAGAGCCATCCATTTATTCATCTAATCAGATGATGTTTACTGAGCACCTGCTATGTGCCAGATACCATTCTAGGCACTGAAGATACAATGATGAATAAAAGACATAAAACGCTTGCTCTCCTAGAAGCTGACCTTCTAGGTGGCAGGAGAGAAAAAGTAAATAAATGCACAAATATAGAGTGCATCTTGTAATGTAAGTGCAGTGGAGAAAAATTAAGCCCTCTTAGACATTACTGGTGGGGACGTGACTTGGTGCAACCATGTTGGAAAACAGCCCGGCTTTATCTCTGATAGTTAAGCACATATACACCCCATGGTCCAGCAATTCTACTCTGGAGTATGGACCTTGGAGAAATTCTTGCCCATTCACAGCAGGAGTCCCATAGAAGGATGTTTATAGCAGCTCTGTTCACAGTGGTCAAAGCTGGGAAATAACCCAAATGCCCATCTGGAGAGAACAAATGAATAAATTATGGTTTAATTCCCACGATGAAATATTACGCAGCACTCAATACGAAGGAACTATACAGCCACACGCCGTAATATGGATGGATCTTTGAAATAGAATATTCAATGAAAAATGTCCTGTTACATAAACATGATTCCCTTTTTATAAAGTCAACGGCAACTAAAATTATGGGCACACATATGCGATAATAAACTGTATGAAGGGAAACAAGGGAAGAATAAATACAGGATTTAGGATGAGGATTAAGAGGGCAACGTGGCGCCACAGGTTGGGGGGCCATATGGTAAGATGTAAATCACTGTCAAGATCCTAGCTTTTGTTTGGGTAGTGGTTTCACAGGTGTTTATTACATTCTTCTTCTTTTTCAAGAGACAGGGTCTCGCTCGATCGCTCAGGTTTCAGTGCAGTGGTGCGATCACAGCACTCTGCAGCCTCCAGTTCCTGGGCTCAAGCAATTCTCCTGCCTCAGCTGGGGCTACGGAAATGTACCACCATACTTAATTATTTCATTTTATTTTTGTAGAGACAAGGTCTCCCTTTGTTGCCCAGGCTGGTCTTGAACTCCTGGGCTCAAGTGATCCTCCTGCCTTGGCCTCCCAAAGTGCCGGGATTACAGGTGTGAGCCACTGTGCCCAGCCATTCTTAAAATTAACCAGTTAATTAAAAGCTGATGAGAGCATTATTAACCCCCTTTTTTGTGGACCAAGATTAAAGAAATAAGCGAGTAAGCAGGGAGGGGCTAGATCATCCAGATCGTGCTCAGGGTGGAGATATGATTGCCGTTTTTTCTGTTTTTGAGACAGGGTCTTGCTCTGTTGCCCAGGCTGGAGTGCAGAGGCACAATCACAACTCACTGCAGCCTCAACCTCACTTGCTCAATTGACCCTTCCATCTCAGCCTCCCAAGTAGCTAGGACTACAGGTGTGCACCACCACACCTGGCTAATTTTTGTATATTTTGTAGAGACGGGGTTTGGCCATGTTGTCCAGACTGGGGTTGCAACTTTAATCAGCTTGTCAGGGAAGGTACTACCCAGGTGACATCTGAGCCATGACTTGAAGGAGAGTAGCGAATAAGGGGAGATCTGAGGAAGAGGGTACTGGGTAGAGGGCACAGCAGGTACGAAGGCCGCTAGGTGGCAGGGTGCTTGACATGCTGTAGGAATGGCAGGGAGGTCAGTGGGCTGGAGGAAGTGAGTGCAGCCATGTGAGAAGCAGGCGTAGGGAGGGAGAGAGATGGAGACACGGGGGAGAAGAGAGGGAGAATGTTTCCTGCGTTTCCCAAGGGGTTCTTCCCAGCGACTGGCTATTCAACTTTTCCTTAGGTTCCATGAGGCACCCCAGTTTCCTTGAGGTGGTTTAATGGGGTTTCTATTACTTGTAAGCCAGTGAGTCCTACCTGGTGAAATCACTGGCCCTGTGGCCAGAAGATCATGGTGTGAGTTTCTTCAAGAAAGATTTCTTAAGAGAAACTGCAAACTGGAGGGTTGGTGCTCGCACAGCAGAAGCCCCTGGGAGATGGAAGGGGACCCAGGCGGCATCGGCTAAGGGGTATGGAATAGCAGTTAGCCCATTCATGGAGTGATTTCTAGGTACAGGGATTTTATTACACTCTTCTTTTCTTTTGAGACAGGGTCTCGCTCTGTCACTCAGACTGGAGTGCAGTGGCATGATCTCAGCTCACTGCAACTTCCTCCACCCAGGTTCAAGTGATTCTCTTGCCTCAGCCTCCCAAGTAGCTGGGATTACAGGCATGAGCCACCATGCCTGGCTAATTTTTGTATGTTTAGTAGAGACAGGGTTTCACCATGTTGGCCAGGCTGTTCTCAAACTCCTGACCTTAAGTGATCCACCTCGGCATCCCAAAGTGCTGGGATTACAACCCTGAGCCACCTTATTATGCTCTTTTAATCCTCCCAACAACTCTGACAGGCATTATTACAGATTTTACAGGTGGGGAAACTGAGGCAGTAGAGGTTGTGGCATACACAGTGAGTATTTGAGCCTGAAAACCCCAGGTCTGGCTGACCTCGGAGCTCTTGCACCTGGGATATGAGGTGTCTGATCTATTTCCATTGTGGTGTCCCTTTGTCTTTGGGGACCACAGTTTCTCTCCTTTATAGTGTGGGTGGGTGGGTCCTTGCCTCCTGTCCTCTCTTCCCCAGCTCCTGGGCCATCGAGAAGGCCTATGAGCAGCCAGGCGAAGTGGGAACACTCAATCTGGAATTCGCTGTGTCTCCAACGTGGAGAGAAGGAACCCAGAGAAAGAACGGGGTTTAGAGTTAGTGTGGCCTGGGGTGTGGTGGAAGTTTAGTGTGGCTAGGGGACTAAGAGAGGGAGTTGGGGGGAGGTGTGTTTGTGTGTGTGTGTGTGTGTGTGTGTGTGTGTGTGTTGCTTATGCAGAGCTGGTTCATTTGGGGAAGGGTGGGGGGAGCAGAAAAGAGAGAGGAACCCTAGACCTTTTCCTCCCTGTACAAATCAACCGCCTGAGTCCAGCAGGCAGGGCCGGGAAATGAAATGGGAGCGTGTGTATAGAACGCCCCCTAGTGGTCTATTTTGGTCCCTCGTTCTAATGCTGGAGACATTTCCAGATAATTTATTTTTAATTTTTTTGTTGCAGTAAACATGCATACCATAAAATTTACCATCTCAATTCTATCTAAGCTAAGTGTTAAGCATATACACATTGTCTTACAACCGATTTCTGTACTTTTTCATCTTGCAAAACTGAAACTGTACCCTTTAAACAAGAATTTTCCCATTTTCCCCTCCCTCCAGGCTGTAGCACCCACTGTTCTACTTTCTGTCTCTAAGAACTTGACTAGTCCAGTACCTCCTATAAGTGGAAGCATGCAGTGTTTGCCTTTTTGTGCCTGGCTTATTTCACTGAGCGTAATGTCCTCAAGGTTTCCCCATGTTGTAGCTGTGTCGGGATTCTCTTCCTATTTAGGGCGAAGCATATTCCACTGTAGGTATAGACCACATTTTGTTATCTATTTGTTATCTGTTCATCTGTCAGTGGACCCTTGAGTTGCTTCTACCTGTTGGTCATTGTGAATAGAGCTGTTATGAGTATGGGTGTACAAATATCTCTTCCAGACTTTGTTGTCACTTCTTTTGGGTGTATCCCCAGAAGCGAGATTGCTGGATCATATGTGCTAGACTGAACTCCCCGCTCCCCTTTTCATATGTTGAAGCCCTCACCTGCAATGTGACTGTATTTGGAGATAGGGCTTTTAGGAGGTAATTAAGATCATAAGGGGCTGGGCGCTGTGGCTCACGCCTGTAATCTCAGCACTTTGGGAGGCAGAGATGGATAGATCACTTGAGGTCAGGATTCGAGACCAGGCTGGACCAACATGGTGAAACCTCGTCTCTACTAAAAATACAAAAATTAGCCAGGTGTGGTGGCACGCTCCTGTAGTGCCAGCTTCTCCGGAGGCTGAGGCAAGAGAATCCCTTGAACCCTGGAGAGAGAGGTTGCAGTGAGCCAAGATCGCGCCACTGCACTCCAGCCTGGGTGACAGAGTGAGACTCCTTTTCAAAAGAAAAAAAAATCAAAAGGGGTCATAAGGATGGAGTACTAACTTGATAAAAATGGGTAGCCTTATAAGAAGAGGAGAGACAGGGATCTCTCTTTCTCCTTCCCTGTGCATACAGGCAATGAGGAATGGCTGTGTGAGGGAGTATCAAGAAGACAGCAGCCTGTAAGCCAGGGATGGGGGTCTCACAAGAACCAGACCATGCTGGCACCCTGATCCCAAACTTCCAGCCTCCAGAACTGTCGGAAGTAAATTTCTGTTGTTTAAGCCACCAGTCTATGATATTTTCTTTTCTCTTTTCTTTTCTTTTCTTTCTTTCTTTCTTTCTTTCTTTCTTTCTTTCTTTCTTTCTTTCTTTCTTTCTCTCTCTGTCCTTCTTTCTCCTTCCTTCCTTCCTTCCTTCCTTCCTTCCTTCCTTCCTTCCTCCCTCCCTCCCTCCCTCCCTCTCTCTCTTTCTTTCTTTATTTTTTGACAGCCTTGCTTTGTCTCCCAGGCTGGAGTGAAGTGGTGCAACCTTGGTTCACTGCAACCTCCACCCCCCGGGTTCAAGCGATTCTCCTACCTCAGCCTATCAGGTAGCTGGGACTACGGGTGCACGCCAACACGCCCGGCTAATTTTTTGTATTTTTAGTAGAGATAGGGTTTTGCCATGTTGGCCAGGCTGGTCTTGAACTCCTCACCTCAGGTGATCCACTCACCTTGGCCCCCCAAAGTGCCGGGATTACAGGTGTGAGCCACCACACCCGGCCTGATATTTTCTTATGGCAGCCAGAGTGAATACAATATAGTAATTCTATTTTTAATTTTTGAGGAACTGTCATACTGTTCCCAGAGCATTTTACAGGCCCACCGAGAGTACACAGGGTTCCAATGTTTCTACATCCTCACCAACACTTGTTATTTTCTTTCTTTTCTTTTATTAAAATAATAGTAGCCATCTGAGTGGGTTTTCCAGGTAGTTTTTCTCCCAGCCACCAATGAGGCCTCCTGTGTGCCCAACACCAGGCTGAATATGTCACATGCCCAGTGGTTAGTATCATTCCCATTTTACAGATAAGGACACTGTGGTTTGATGGGACAAGTAACTAACTCAGTGTCACCAATGAGTAAGTGCTGCATGCATCACTGGCTCCAAGTTGGATTTCTTGACTCTAAAGTCAAGAATCCTAATGGAAATCCTATTAATCTTGGTGATGATGGTGGTGATGATGACAAGTAGCAATTACAGAGCATTACTCCTGTGACTGGCACTGTCCCCAGCTCCTTACAGACATTTTAATGGATTTAATCCATAACAACCCTATGTGATGTCTACTATTAAGTTCTTCATTTTACAGATGAGGAAACCGAGACATGGAAAACTCAATTTGTTTGTTCAAAGTCATATGGCAACTAAATGGTACAACCAGGATTCTAACCCAATATCCTATTCTGCCTTCCTATGGGCACTGATGGCTAAAGAAAATCCTACCTACCAAAATCTAAATTCCCCCAAAGTAAAAATGAGGGCGACAACCTTTGCTTCAGTGAAAGCATCACCGCCATAATTCTCCTGGCTAAAGGGCTTCATCCTCATGCTGTTTTTGTTGAGGATGTTTTAGTTGAGTTTGAGAGAGCCTCAGATTGACCTGAGATGAACTCTGGGACCCTAGGAGTCAGTGTGTAACCCTGGTCTCCTACGGAAAGCCCCAAATCAAGTTTGAACCCTGGCTCCTTTCCTTTTTTTTTTTTTTTTTGTTAAAAATTTTATTTTAAATTAATTTGGGAGCTTATAGAGAACTTACAAAGAGTACAATAAATTCTTTATACCTTTCACCTGGATTCCTCAAATGTTAACCTTATATTTGATTTCTTCCTCTTCCTCCTCCTCCCCCTTCTCCTCCTCCTCTTCTTCCTCCTCCTCTTCTTCTTCCTCCTCCTCCTGCTTCTTTTCTCTCTCTCTCTCTGTATACACACACACACACACACACACACACACAAACACAATACATGGATATATAAAATTTTCTGAAACATTTGAGGATGAACTGCATACACTATACCACTATACCCCCTAGTGCTTCAATATATGTATTCCCTAATATAAGGAAATTCTTTTACCTGACCACAGTACAATGATCACAATCAGGTAATCAAAATACAATGACCTAATCTATAGCTGTTATTTGTATTTTGCCAATTGTCCCAATAGTGTCCTTTATTGATAGCAAAATAAATAAATAAAAAATCCAGGATCATGCCTAGCACATAGATGGTGCTAGACCATCTATCTCAACCAACATGCCTGTCGAGGCAGAGGCATAAGTGAGCCCAGCTAAGACTGGCACACCTGCTTGGCTGACCTGTAGATTTATGAGAGATAATACCTGGTTGTTGCCTTTAGTCACTTAGTTTTGGGGTGGCTTTTCAAGCAGCAATAGAAATGATAGAGCAGGTGCACTAACCAGGATGCTTGGGCTGCAAATAACAGAAAACCCAACTTAGAGAGGCTTAGACCATGAGGACACTCTTATTCTTCATGAGGAGTCCTTAGGTCAGGAGCATCCCCCCGCCATCCCATCCCAAAGCCATTATATGGGTCAGGGTTTTCCAGAGAATCAGAACCAATAAAATGTGTATCTCTCTCTCTCTGTAGCTTCCTTCCTTCCTTCCTTCTTCCTCCTTTCTTCTTTCCTTTCTCCCTCCCTTGCTTCCTCCATTCTTTCCTTTCTTCCTCTTTCCCCTTTCCTTCTTTCCTTCCTCCCTCCTTCCCCCACTCCCCCTCCTCCTTCCTTTTCCCCCCTCCATCCTTCCCTCCCTCCCTTCCCTTCCCTTCCTTCCTCCCTCCCTCCTTCCCTCCTTCTTTCCTTTCTTTTTCCCACACTCCCTCCCTTCCCTTCCTTTCCTTCCTTCCTCCCTCCCTCCTTCCCTCCTTCTTTCCTTCTTTTCTTTTTCCCACACTCCCTCCCTTCCCTTCCCTTCCCTTCCCTTCCCTTCCCTTCCCTTCCATTCCCTTCTCTTCCCTCCCTTTCTTCCTTCCTTCCTTTCTCCCTCCCTCTCTCCCTCCCTCCTCTCTAGGAATTGAATTACATGATTTCAGAGGCTGGCAAGTCCAAATCTGCAGGACAGGCTGGAGACCCAGGGAAGAGCTGATGCTTCAGCTTGAGTCATAAGCAGTCTGGAGAGATAATTTCTTCTCCCTGCGGGGACCTTGGTCTTTTTCTCCTAAGGCTTTAACTCATTGGCTGAACCCACCCATGCTATGGAGGATAATCGCTGTACTCAAACTCTACTGTTTCATATCTAAAAATACCTTTACACCAACGTCTAGACTGATGATTACCAAACATCTGGGCCCTACAGCCTATCCGAGTTGACTTTTAAAACTAACCATCCCAGCCATCAAAGTTCTTCTGCTTTCCATCCCTGACATGTTGATATTTCAGAATTAGCATTGTCATCTCAAGGTCACAAGATGGCTGCTGAAGCTCCAGAAATCACAACCTCAAACAGCAGCATCCAGAGCAAAAGGGAAGAAGGAAGATTGAAAAGGTCTTTTCGTTTCCTGACCCATCTCTCTCTCTCTCTCTCTCTCTCTCTTTCTCTTTAGAGACAGGGCCTCATTCTGTTGTCCATGCTGGAGTACAGTGGCATCATTATAGCTCACTGCAGCCTCCAGTTCCTAGGTTCAAGCGATCCTCCTGTCTCAGCCTCCCAAGTAGCTGGGACCTACAGGCATGCACCGTCACATCCAGCTAATTAATTTTTTTGTTTGTTTGTAGAGATGGGGTGTGGCTATATTGCTCAGGCTGGTCTGGAACTTCTGGCCTCAAGCAATCCTCCTGCCTTGACCTCCCAAAGCGTTGGGATTACAGGTATAAGCCTGGCTGCATCTCTCTCTTAATAGAAAGACAGTCTTCCTAGAATCTCTTAGCAGAATTCTCTTTATGTTTAATTGGCCAGACTGGGTCACATGTCCCTCCTGACCGTGCACTGGCAAGGAGGCACAGGATGCCAGGATTGGCTTAGACCAAGCAAGACATCCCCTGGGACTGGGTGGAATTTGGGGGGCAAGGTAAAAAGGAGGAATGACTGCTAGGTAGGCAACCAACAGTGTTGGTGCATAATTAATGCTGTTTAAATATTTGGGGAGGGAGCAAATGGACGCCTGAACCTTAGTAGAGATGAAGGTCCCATAGAGGAAGGCACTCGTGGAGGGTTGACTTGGGTCTTCTTAGTGTCAGGCTAATGGTTGGTTTGCCCAGCGCCCTTGAAGATGAACAGGCTATCTGGGGGACTTCACCTTATTAGGTAGGTGGGGTGACCCAGTGGCAGTGGAGGAAGTGGCCGTCACCAGCTGCTGTCCTCTGGGTTGTGACAATCTGATCCTGTCTCACGGCCTCCCAGCCTGGCCTCCAGCCAAGTGGCTGACACCTGGCCAGCCATCTGTCGTCCACCTAGAAGCTAAGTCTGCAGGGGGACACCACAGAGGACACACCAGTAGATTTCCCAGCATGGCGCGGGTGGGGGAAGAGAGGAAGCAGGGAGGGCTCTTCGTCCCAAAGCTAACACCCAGAAAGAGGTCAAGGATATGCGGAAATGGACTTAAAAATTCAATTCTCTTTTATAGCACACTTTCCAAACCTTTACATATTTATTAACTTGTTTAAGTCTCCCCACAGGCAAGGGAGGCAGGGACCACTCTCCTCATTTTTTTCTTCTTTTTTCTTTTTTTTTTTGAGATAGAGTCTTGCTCTGTCACCCAGGCTGGAGTGCAGTGGCGCAGTTTTGGCTCACTGCAATCTCTGCCTCCTGAGTTCAAGCGATTCTCCTGCTTCAGCCTCCTGAGTAACTGGCGTTACAGGCACATGCCACCACGCCTGGCTAATTTTGTATTTTTAGTAGAGATGGGGTTTCACCATGTTGGCCAGGCTGGTTTTGAACTCCTGGTCTTAAGTGATCCACCCGCCATGGCCTCCCAAAGTGCTGGGATTACAGGTTTGAGCCACCGCGCATGGCCAACTCTCCTCATTTTATAGCCAGGCAATGGAGGTGAGAAAGTCAAAAGGCCTTGCCCAAGGTCACCACATGAGTCTCGTCTTGCCGATGGAACACATGACCAAACCTTGCAGCTTAGAACAGCACAGGTGTGTTACCCCACATTTCCGGAGGCCAGAAGCCCTAAAGTCAAGGTGCTGGGTTCATTCTGGAGGGTTCGGGGGGAATCCTTTTCCTTGCCTTCTTCCAGCTCCTAGAGGCTGCTCCAGTTCCCTTATTCCTTGGCGCAGGGCCCCACCTTCATCTTCACAGCCAGCAGCACCCTCCAGTCCCTTTCCCTGCTTCCGCTGTCACTTTTTTCTTCACTCTGATCTTCTGCTTCCTCTTAGAAGGACCCTCCCTCTTATAAAGACCCTTGTGATGACACTGGGCTTACTTGGATCATCCAGGATCATCTCTCATCTCAAGACCCTTAGTCACATCTGCAAGGCCCCTTTGCCGTATGTGTAGGTGTGGGGATGAGGATGTGCGCATCTTTGGGGGCCCTTATTCAGCCTATCACGGCTACCTGGCTGAGGACTGGCTGAGACCTTCTGAGCCTCTTCATTGCTCCTTTGCTCCCAAATCCCCCACCCGCTTCACCAGGGCTGCAGTCATTGACCAACTCTGTCTGAGGTTGCATGCCTCAGTGGCAGCATTTTAGTGAATCCTGCACTTGCCCTTTTTTTTTTTTTTTTTTTTTTGAGACAGTCTTGCTATGTCACCCAGGCTGAAGTGTAGTGGCGTGATCTCAGCTCACTGCAACCTCTGCCTCCCGGATTCAAGCGATTCTCCCACCTCAGCCTCCAGAATAGCTGGGATTACAGGCATACACCACCACACCCAGCTAATTTTTGTATTTTTAGTAGAGACGGGGTTTCACCATGTTGGCCATGATGGTCTCGATCTCCTGACCTCGCGATCCGCCCACCTCAGCCTCCCAAACTTCTGGGATTACAGGCATGAGCCATTGTGCCCAGCCGCCATTCTTAGTTAAGAAGTGAGCATGTGGGCCCCAGAGTCTGACTGTCTGGGTTGAAATCCTGGCTTCAATGCTTTGTGGCTGTGTGACCTTGGATAAGTTACTGCACCTCTCTGTGCCTCTGTTTTCTCATCTGTAAATGAGAGTGAGATAATAGGTACCAGTCCCATAGGTATAGGGTGTGAGGATTAAATGACTTCATGACTGTTGCGTTCTTAGAACAATACCTAATTCAGAATGACCTCAGTTAATGTTAGCTAGCTTAAAAAAAATTAAACAAAAACATTATTGGCCGCGTGCTGTGGCTTACTCCTGTAATCCCAGCACTTTGGGAGGCCAAGGTGGGTGGATCACTTGAGGTCAGGAGTTCGAGACCAGCCTGAGCAACATGGTGAAACCCAGTCTTTACTAAAAATAAAAAAATTAGCCAGGTGTGGTGGTGCACGTCTGTAGTCCCAGCTACTTGGGAGGCTGAGGCATGAGAATTGCTTGAGCCCGGGGGGGGTGGAGGTTGCAGTGAGCCGAGATCTCACCACTACACTCTAGCCGGGTGACAGAGCCAGACTCTGTCTCAAAAAAAATTATTAAAAGCAGAATATTTCATCATTTACCATCTACCAGGTTGCTTCACTGTCTTCTAGGCTTGGGCTTTGAGGTCTGAGTGTGCCAGGGCGTTTAATGCCAGCTGCCACAACAGACAAACCCTGGACTTGCAGTGGCGAAACACAATCAAGGCTTGCTTCTCGCTCTTCTAAGGAGGAGGGCAGCCCTTCCCCAGAGAGAGCACGTGGCCTCGGGGTCACTGTGGCAGGGCAAGAGAGCGGTGGGGCTGCTCCATTTCACAACACCAGCTCTCCATTGCCTTAACTCCCAAAGTCACATGTCAGTCTCACTCCAGTTCCAGCCCAGGAACTAGGTCAGTGGAGGCAGGGATGAGGTGGTCAGTGCTGGGTTGGGGAGGTGGAGCCTGGGACAGAGGAATCACTAATGCAAACCATGGAGTCAGGGAGGCCTCAGGGAGGAAGTGATGACTAACTCGAAGCTTGAACAGGAACTTGCCTAGGACAATCCTGGGTGTGGTCCTGGGATAAACCCTGCAGGAGATTAAGGTTTCAACATTCAGGGTGAGAAACTAAATCTGGATATCTAGAGACAGCTGCACTCCAATGCTCATTCCATCATTATTCACAATAACCAAGATACGGAAACAACCCAGGTGTTCATGGCAGACGATGGATAACGAAACCGTGGTATATACACAAAGATTATTCAGCCTTCCAAAAAGGGAAACTCTGCCATTTACAACAACCTTGATGAACTTGGAGGACATTATGCTAAGTGAAATAAGCCAAACACAAAAAGAAAAACACTGCAGGATCTCACTAGTAAGCGAAATCTAAGAGTCAAATTCATAGATGCAGAGAGTAGAAGGGCTGTATCTGGATTATCTTGAGATGGGAGATGACCCTTGAGAAAGAAGGATGGGGGTAGAACTGGGTGATTCATTGAGGATTTGGCGGACCCAGGAGACATTACCCTGACACATTCAGATCCCAAAACCCTAGCCTAGAAGATAGCGAAGAATCTCTTGGCTGGGGTTCTCAGCCTGGGGATCACAGACTCCTTTGAACTTGGATGGGGAAAGTGATATCTTTATTCTCATTAACTGTGAATTGAAAGACAGCATTTCCTTCTACTATGAACATAGGCAACAAACCACAATGGTGTGAGTAGCGTCTGACTGTGTCATGAATAGAATCCTATAGTTTCCTATTACATTTCACTTGTTGGTGCTGTCTCAAAATATATTGCTTTTACTCATCACTGCTTTGAAGTATTACAGTAATTAGACTGGGATCTTCATTTTATTTTATTTTTTGAGATGGAGTCCCACTCTGTTGCCCAGGCCAGAGTGCAGTGGCGCAATCTCAGCTCACTGCAGTCTCTGCCTCCTGAGTCCAAGCCATTCTCCTGCCTCAGCCTCCCAAGTAGCTGGGATTAAAGGCGTGCACCATCACACTCGGCTAATTTTTGTATTTTTAGTAGAGATGGGGTTTCGCCATATTGGCCAGGCTGGTCTTGAACTCCTGACCTCAGGTGATCCACCAGCCTCAGCCTCCCAAAGTGCTGGGATTACAGGGGTGAGCCACCTAGCCCAGGTTATTTTAACACAGCCTGAATTAATTGTAGCTCAAGAGGGGTGCCCCTAACAACCTGCAGCTGAGGAGTCTTGCTGAGATCTGCCAGGCTTTGGGCAGCACTGGTGCAGTGGACTGAATGTCTATGTCTCCTCAACCCCTAAATTCATACATTGAACTCCTAACCCACAGTGTGATGGTGTGAGGAGGTGATGTGAGAAGGTGATTAAGTCATGCAGGTGGGGACTTCATGAATGGGATTAGTGCCCTTATAAAAGGATCCCTGGAAAGCTTCCTTACCCCTTCAGCCATATGAAGACACAGAGAGAAGGCAGCTACCTATGAACCAGGCAGCTACCTATGAACCAGGAAGAAGGCCTTCATCAGACACCAAATCTGCAGACGCCTTGATCTTGTATTTGCCAGTCTCTGGAACTATGAGCACCACATTTCTGTAGTTTCTAAGCCACCCAGTCTATGTATTTTGTTATGGCAGTCCTGAAAGTAACCCCCGTTGGTGAGGGTCTTTCTCTGGGTCTTAAATCAGCATGACTGCAATGGGAGGCACCCAGCCTGGGTGGGGGGGCTGCACCCCGGCTTCAGGGCTCAGTGGGAAGACTTTGGGGGCTTCTTATCATTCAAGGGAGAACAGCTCTTTCTTTCTTTCTCCTTTCTTTCTTTCTTTCTTTCTTTCTTTCTTTCTTTCTTTCTTTCCTCCCTCCCTCCCTCCCTTCTTTCTTTCTTTCTCTTTCTTTCTTTCTTTCTTTCTCTCTCTTTCTCTCTCTCTCTTTCTTTCTCTTTCTTTCTTTCTTTCTTTCTTTCTTTCTTTCTTTCTTTCTTTCTTTCTCTCTCTCTCTCTCTCTCTCTCTTTCTTTCTTTCTTTCTTTCTTTCTTTCTTTCTTTCTTTCTTTCTTTCTTTCTTTCCCTTCTTTTTTTTGAGACAGAATCACTCTGTCACCCAGGCTGGAGTGCAGTGGTGCGATCTCGGTTCACTGCAACCTCCACCTCCCAGGTTCAAGTGATTCTCTTGCCTCAGTCTCCTGAGTAGCTGGGATTACAAATGTGCCCCACCACCCCCAGCTAATTTTTATATTTTTAGTAGTGACACGGTTTCATCATGTTGGCTAGGTTGGTCTCAAACTCCTGGCCTCAAGTGATCTGCTTGCCTCCGCCTCCTAAAGTACTGGGATTACAGGCATGAGCCACTGTGCCTGGTCAATATTTTTGTTTTTGATTACCCATGGCCATTATAACCTTATCTCTGTGCGAAGTGACATCTTAGCTAGAGGGTGTCCTACCCAAAACCAGGTTTTTGGGAGTCCATAGAGTTAAAGAATTAAAAGCTGAGAATTTGGAGATTGAGGGGGCCCAGAGTAGAATTCTGCCAGGCTGCTTGTTTGTGCAGGCTCTTTGGGCAAGGGACTTAACTTCCCTGGGCCTCAGTTTCCCTATTTGTAAAATGTGAATAATGGTCTTCAACTTAGAGGGCAGTTTGGAGGCATTCAGGGCTATGAGGCCCTTATCTCAGGTCTTGTCACAAGGGAAGTGAGTGCTCGGTAAATAGCAGCTGCTCTTGTCACCTTCGCCTGGGCCAGATCAGGGCCCGCAGCAGGTTCCTTCTTTTCCCTGGCCATCCCTCTTCACTCAGCCTGCAGTGAGCAGCATTGCTGGCTTCCTGGAGGAGGCCATCTCAGTCTTCTAAATCAAGCTGGACAGTGGGGCATGCATTGCCCATCAGTAGGGACATTGGGACTCAGAGCAGCTTTGAAACAGCAGGGCCCGATAGTGCCCCTGAAATGTGGTTTGCTAATGAAGTTTCTGCCTTGGCTCTGGGCCTTTCTGAACTGTTTACTGCAGGAGGACTGTGAGCCTTTAGTTGCCTGCAGGAGGAGGCAGGTAGAAGACAGTGAGGCTCCCCAGCGTCCAGCGGAGTTGAGGTCCCAAATCTTATACAGTGAGGATTCCAGGGTGTGAGCATGGGAATACTTCCTGATCAAGACCTGGGCAGTGACCTTGGGTTAGAGAGCTGCTCTGAGCCTCAGTTTCCCCCTCGGTCAGATGGAGATGAAAATACCTACCTCATAGGCAAGGATCCAATGAGGATGAATGAAAACTTCGAGCTGAGCACACAGAACACTCTAAGAGTGAGCTGCTTTTGTTCTCTCTGCTTTGGACAGGATGCCCAGGGCTGAGCCTAGCTTGCTTTGGATGAGTGAAAAATAAGATAGGGATGTAACCCAGTGTATTTAGTCCAACAGGATTTCCCAAGAGCCCTTAAGAAGAGTTATGGGCCAGGTGCGGTGGCTCACACCCGTAATGCCAGCACTTTGGGAGGCCAAGGTGGATAGATCACCTGAGGTCAGGAGTTCGAGACCAGCCTGGCCAACATGGTGAAACCCCATCTCTACTAAAAATACGCCAGGCATGATGGCAGGTGCCTGTAATCCCAGCTACTTGGGAGGCTGAGGCTGGAGAATTGCTTGAACCCAGAAGGCGGAGGTTGCAGTGAGCCGAGATTGCGCCATTGCAATTGCACTCCAGCCTGTGCGACAGAGCGAGACTCTGTCTCAAAAAAAAAAAAAAAAAAAGGAAAAGTTATGAGTTAGCATTAAGCTGGAGCTTGACCTGGGCCTGGTAAATTCAGTTGGGTGGGGGTGCAGGCTGGGGTGTTTATGCCCCAAAGGAGGATGGTGGTGTTAGGGTGGGGACAGGTGGGTTTGGTGGCAGTAGGAGACAGACCTGGAGGTGGGCGGGTGCTAGCTTTGTATGGGCTGCCCACCGTGTGATGGAGGACATACACAGGTGCTTCTGCACTGCCACACTTAGCGTGTGGGGTCGCATGCACATCACCTTGTCCTTGTTAAATGGCTGTCGCAGCTACAGACCTGATATTGCATCAAGGGCAAATAAGGGGAACCCGGGTGGTGGTGGCTGAGGCTGTTCCTTTTATCAGGAAAGTAAAAACTCTCTGAAACCTCCTAGCAGATTTCTCCATCAGTCCCATCCGTCAGCATCGCGATCCAGCACAAGGCCCCCTTTAGCTATGAAAGACTCTGAGAAGAGACTCAGGTTTTCAGCCCCTGCAGTGAGAAGCAGCAGGGGAGAAGGCGTGGGGATGGCTGTTGGGTCCATCCGTTGATTGTGTCCCTCTCAGCTATGTGAACCCCACTGGTACCTGGGGGCCACTCACTCACCTCTTCTTTCTTCTGGACTTCTACCTGAACACTCTAGGTTCTTAGCTACTGCCAGGGACAGCTTCCCAACTGTGTCACACAGAGCCCTTCAGTCAGAAGTGCCCTTGGTTAAACACTCTGGTGGTATAGCCTTAACACTTTTTGTTTGTTTGTTTGTTTGTTTGTTTTGAGACAGAGTCTCGCTGTATCACCCAGGCTGGAGTGCGGCAGTACAGTCATGGCTCACTGCACCCTCGATCTCCTGGGCTCAAGCGAGCCTCCCTCCTCGACCTCCTAAATAGCTGGGACTACAGACTCATGTCACCACAGCCACCTAAATTGTTAAATTTTTTGTAGAGATGGGGTCTCACTATGTTGCCCAGGCTGGTCTCCAACTCTTGTCCTCAAGTGATCCTCCCACCTTGGCCTTCCAAAGTGCTGGGATTACAGGCGTGAGCCACCGTGCCCAGCCAGTCTTTAAACTCTTGAGACTTTTTCAACAAGGGGTCCTGCATTTTCTTTTTGCACTGGGCCTCACAAATCATGGAGTTGGCCTTGTCTACTGCTCATGGTGCTATAGCCACTTTTTCTACGAGGCCAGAGGCTTCTTGGTTTCCTGTATATTTATGACCTTAGAGAAACAAAAGACCTCAAGATGCAAAATCATTCACCAGGGAGCAGACCATCATGGAATTAGACTGCATTCAAACCTCCCTCCTGCCGCAGTAGAGGTATGTGTGTGCTCAGCTTGGGTGTTTCTAAGTGAAGGATATGATTTTTTTTTTTGGGAGAAAAAAATGAAGACTTGATTTTTGACTCTGTTTTCTTTTTTTTTTCTTTTTCGGTTATATAGATGAGAGGTTTCTATGTTGCCTAGGTTGGCCTCGAATGCCTAGCCTTGCCTCCTTATGCGCCAGGACAATAGGCCTGAGCCACCGTGGCTCCTGATTTTGTCTCTGTTTTAAGAGTTACTAATTAATTGAAACACAATGTAAAATATGCTAATTGAAACAATGTAAAACATGTTAAATGTCATAAAAATAAGCTTCTTTTCCTTTTCTTTTTTTTTTTTTTTTTTTTGAGACAAGTTCTCACTGTGTCACCCAGGCTGGAGTGCAGTGACATGATCACCACTCACTGCAGCCTCGACTTCCTGGGCTCAAGCAATGCTTCCACCTCAGCCTCCTGAGTAGTTGTGACTACAGGCGTGACCCACCATGCCTAGCTAATTTTTGTAGGTTTTTGTTTTTGTTTGTAGAGATGGGGTTTCACCATGTTGCCCAGGCCAGTGTTGAACTCTGGGCTCAAGCAATCCTCCTGCCTCAGCCTCCCAAAGTGCTGGGATTACAGGCATGAGCCACTATGCCCAGCCTGTTATTTTTCAAGATAGCTCCACAATCAAGCCTGTTCTCTTACTCCCATTTATTATGACATTTTCATTCTTGTGGGTTTAGTTAAGTGGTCTTTCCCACTTCTATTTTTTTATTGTTTTTATGGTGGTAAAAGTATATATAACATAAGATTTGTAATTTTAATTGGTTTTTAACATATAATTCAGTGGAATTAATCACATTCACAATGCCATGTAATCATTGCCTCTACCTATTTAGAAAACTTTTTCATTATCTCAAACATAAACTTCATACCCATTATGCAGTAATGCCTCATTATTCCTTTCCCCAGGCCCTGGTAACCACTTTTTGTCTGTATGATTTCTGAATTTGAAATTATGCAGTATTTTTTTGTGTCTGGCTTCTTTCAATTAGCACTTTTTTTTTTCGAGACAGAGTCTTGCTTTGTTGCCCAGGCTGGAGTGCAGTGGCACGATCACGGCTCACTCTAGCCTTGACTTTCTGAGCTCAGCCCATCCTCCTGCCTCAGCCTCCTGAGTAGCTGGGACTACAGGTGCTTACCACCATACCTGGTTACTTTTTTTTTTTTTGGTCTATTTTGGAGAGACAGGGTCTCACCATGTTGCTGAGGCCGGTCTTGTCCTCCTGGGCTCAAGCAATCCTGTTGAATTTCCTTGGCCTCCCAAAGTGCTGGGATCACAGGTGTGCACCACCACACTCAGTCTTAGCACCGTGTCTTAGTACTGAGGTCCATCCATGTTGTAGCCTGTATCAGAATGTCGTTATTTCTATGGCTAAATTATAGTCCACTGTGTTATGTGCCACATTTTGTTTAGCCATTCATCTGTGAATGGACACTTAGGTTGTTTCCACCTTTAGGCTATTGTGAATAGCATGCTATGAACATTTGTGTACAAACATCTGTTTAAGTCCTTGTTTTTAACTTTTTAGGGTCTATATCTAGGCGTGCATTTGCTGGATCACATGGAAATTCTATGTTTAACTTTTTGAGGAATGGCCAGTCTGTGTCTACAGTGGCTGCACCATTTCCACTTCTCACCAACAATGTACAGTAGTTCCAGTTTCTTCTCATCTTCTCCAACAACTGTTATTTTTTCATTAAGAAATTATAGCTGGCTGGGCACAGTGGCTCATGCCTGTAATTCCAACACTGTGGGAGACTGAGGCAGGCAGATCACCTGAGGTCATTAGTTCAAGACCAGCCTGGCCAACATGGTGAAACCCTGTCTCTACTAAAAACACAAAAATTAGCTGGGTGTGGGGGCGTACGCCTGTAATCTCAGCTACTCAGGAGGCTGAAGGAGGAGAATTGTTTGAACCTGGGAGACAGAGGTTGCAGTAAGTCGAGATCACACTACTGAACTCCAGCCTGGGTAACAGAGTGAGACTCCATCTCAAAAAAAAAAAAAAAAGTCATCCTAATGGGTATGAAGTGGTATCTCATTACAGTTTTGATTTGGATTTCTCTAATGACTAATGACATCGGGCATCTTTTCATAAACTCATTAGCCATTTGCATATTTTCTTTGGAGAAATGTCTATCCAAGTCTTTTGCCCATTTCTGAGTTGCAGTTTTGTCTTTTTGTTGTTGAGTTATACTTCTTTATATATTCTGGATATTAAATCCTTATCAAATATATGATTTGCAAATATTTTTATTCCATTTTGTGGGTTGTCTTTTCCATGCTAATAGTGATGCAGGACAGGCAAGCCCCCAAACTGGGGCTTAGCCCGGGAGGGTTCTTGGCTTCGCCCAGTGTATTTGTCTGTTTTCACGCTGCTGATAAAGGCATACCCAAGACTGGGCAATTTACAAAGGAAAGAGGTTTAATGGAGCGTTCACAGTTCCACATGGCTGGGGAAGCCTCACAATCATGATGGAAGGCAAGGAGGAGCAAGTCACATCTTACGTGGATGGCAGCAGGCAAAGAGAGAGAGCTTGTGCAGGGGAACTCCTTTTTTTTTTTTTTTTTGAGATGGAGTCTTGCTCTGTTGCCCAGGCTGCAGTGCAGTGGTGCGATCTCGGCTCACTGCAAGCTCTGCATCCCAGGTTCATGCCATTCTCCTGCCTCAGCCTCCTGAGTAGCTGGGACTACAGGCACGTGCTACCATTCCTGGCTAATTTTTGTATTTTTTGTAGGGATGGGGTTTCACCATGTTGGCCAGGCTGATCTCGAACTCCTGACCTCAGGCAATCCACCCACCTTAGTCTCCCAAAGTGCTGGATTACAGGCGTGAGCCACCGCGCCTGGCCCAGGAGCTCCTCTTTTTAAAACCATCAGATATTGTGAGACTTGTTCACTACATGAGAACAGCATGAGAAAGACCTGCCCCCATGATTCAATTACCTCCCACTGGGTCCCTCCCACAACATGTGAGAATTGTGGGAGTTACAATTCAAGATGAGATTTGGGTGGGGACACAGCCAAACCATATCACCCAGGAAAGAATTCAAGGATGAGCTGGTGGTGTTAAACAGCAACTGTTATTGAAGCAGTGGTGTACAGTAGCCGCAGAGGTACTGCTCCTTGCAGAGCAGGGATACCCCATAGGCAGTGTGCCCAGAGTAGCAGCTCAGAGGCAGTTCTTCAGTTAAACTTATACCCACTTCTAATTATATGAAAATTAAGGGGCGGTTTATGGAGCCATTTCTAGGATGAGGGTGGTAACTTCTGGGTTGTTGGGTCATTGCCATGGGAAGGGTCAGTAACATTGGAGTGTTGCCATGGTAATGGTAAACTGACATGGCACACTAGTGAGTGTGTCTTATGGAAAGCTGCTTCTGCCCCAGACCTGTTTTAGCTAGTCCTCAATTTGGTCTGGTGTCTGAGCCCTGCTTCCAGAGCTAAGCCCCATCTCCTGCCTTGCTAGTATCCTTTAATGTACAAATTTTGTAATCTTAATAATTTCTATTTTTTTGTTGTTGCCTGGGCTTTTAATGTCATATTAAGAAATCCAAGGTCATGTAGATTTTCCTCTGTGTTTTCTTCTAAGAATTTGATAGTTTTAGCTTTTAAAATTTAGGTCTTTGATTGATTTTGAGTTAATTTTTGTATATGGTGTATGGTAAGGATCCAAATTCATTCTTTGGTGTGCGAATATTCAGTTTTCCCAGCACCGTTTGTTGAAGACACCATTCTTTCCCATTGAATAGTCTTGGCACCCTTATTGAAAATCAACTAACTATAAATGTGAGGGCTTATTTCTGGCTTCTCAATTCTATTCTATTCTATTGATTCTCAATTCTATTCTATTGATTCTCAATTCTATTCTATTGATACACACACACACACAGACACACATGTTCTTGTGTGAGTACCACATTGTTTTGATTACTGTACTATAGCTCTGTATCAAGTCTTGATACAGAATTTCAAGGAATCAGAACAGGCAACTTTTTTTTTTTTTTTAAAGATTGTTTTGGCTATTCTGAGTCCTTGAAACTCTGATGAGTTTTTCCATATTGGCAAAAAATACGATTGGGATTTTGACAGGGATTGCATTGACTCTGTGTGTTGCTTTGGGTAGTATTGCCGTCTTAACATCAAGTCTTCCAATCTGTGAACAACATTGTTCCATTTATTTTTAAGGACCTTATTAACACCTTAGGAGGTAATTCTTAAAAATAGGACTGTCTTCAGAACTCCAAGATGTGAATCCATCCGTAATGGTCAAATTTGAGGTCCATAGGGAAGACCTGTCTTTCGAATACATAGCAAAATACCACAGTGGGTTAATTTGGTAGAGCCCATCCAGTGTCCCTGAATTTGTAGGAAGCCAAATTAGAAGAATAATTTGTGAATAATTTGTGAATAATTAGAAGAATAATTCACTCCTAGTGAGTAGTGAATGCACAGGATGTGGAAACACTCAAGTGCTTAAAGATGCCCTGGTTATGTGCATCAGGATTCAGAATGGACCTCCCTTCCCTAATCACATTACAGTGGCTTTAACGGTACTTAACCATATTCTAGGACTTTTCTGTTTCCTGCTCAGGCTAATTTAATTCTCTCTAATACCACAAGATGGCAGCAAGAGCAGAGCCACCCTGAGCCAAGAGTACAGGAGTAGAAGAAAAAAATCAGGCACAAAGAGAGAAAAGGAGGGAGATGGGGCGAGGAGATGGAGAGAGAGAGAGAGGAGGAGGAGGCGTGAGCAGGACAGACGCCACCCTGTGGACTTGCACGCTTGGCAGGCCGGGGATACTGACCACGGATGTGCAACCACCCTGTGCAGGTGGGCTGTCATGCTTGAAGTAAGATGACACATGAAACTGTTTGAAACCAGTGTTTTCCTTTAATAGTGAGCATGGAGAAAGCAAGGGGAAATTAGGGACAGCAAAGAACTTCTCTGTCTTCCTCCCTATGTCCGCTCATGGAAAGCTATTTTACATGACAACGTGCTCAACAATTGCAATCTCCCGTCAAAGAAACATCCCCTGCCTTAGAAACGTTAGAATCTTAGAAACGTTCCCTGTGGAATGGACAAAAGTGTTCCATAGAGAGAGCTCTAGTGCACAGCAAGTATGTAACAACCAGCAAAACCCACTGGATCATTGAGATAAGTGGCCATGGAGATAAGAGTAGAAGCCGAAAAAGAAGTGAATTCAAGGGTAGAGTGCGAGACCTGGGTTCAAGTCCTAGCTCAGCCACCGACTTGCTGACCATCGCAAGTGGCTCCAAGTCTCTAGACATCAGTTTTCTTTTCTGTAAAATGAGGATTGGATCAGCCAGGCACAGTTGCTCATGCCTGTAATCCCAACACTTCGGGAGGCCTAGGCAGGTGGATCGCTTGAGGTCAGGAGTTTGAGACCGGCCTGGCCAACATAGCAAAACCCTGTCTCTACTAAAAATACAAAAAATTAGCCAGGTGTGGTGGCTGCATACCTGTAGTCCCAGCTACCTGGGAGGCTGAGGCACAAGAATTGCTTGAACCTGGGAGGTGGAGGCTGCAGTGAGCTGAGATCACACCACTGCACTCCAGCTTAAAAAAAAAAAAAAAAAGGCTGGGTGCAGTGGCTCACGCTGGTAATCCAAGCACTTTGGGAGGCCAAGGTGGATAGATCACCTGAGCTCAGGGGAGACCAGCAAGTGGCTCCAAGTCTCTAGACATCAGTTTGCTTTTCTGTAAAATGAGGATTGGATCACCCAGGTGCAATTGCTCACGCCTGTAATCCCAACACTTTGGGAGGCCTAGGTGGGCGGATCACTTGAGGTCAGGAGTTTGAGACCGGCCTGGCCAACATAGCAAAACCCTGTCTCTACTAAAAATACAAAAAATTAGCTGGATGTGGTGGCAGGCACCTGTAATCCCAGCGACTTGGGAGGCCAAGGCATGAGAATTGCTTGAACCCAGGAGTTGGAGGCTGCAGTGAGCTGAGACCACACCACTGCACTCTAGCCTGGGCAGCAGAGTGAGACTGTCTCAAAAAAAAAAAAAAAAATGAAGATTGGATTGAATGGTCTATCCTTCTTCAATCCCTCTAGAAGATCCAGCTTTAAGGACGAAGATATTAAAAGTGAGGAGTTTTAGCAAGTCCCACCGGCCACCAAGTAGGAAAGAACAGAAGGGGCCCCTGTAGAATGGGCGTGAGAATATCTCACAGCCCACAAACTCAGGTGTGCTGGACGTAACGCATGCCTTTATTTTCTTTGAATCAGCCTAGTTTTGTTTTCAGGCTCCCATCCATGTAGAGTGGAAAATTCCACCTTGGTGGTTTTTGGGGCTTTCTTCCCTGGTGAAGGGATCTCCAGCAGTGCCAAGGAGGGGCTGAGACCCTAGTCACTGGCCATCTCTGAACTTGGGTTCCACTGGAATGTCCACTGTTCCAATCAAATGGCACCAGGGTGGTCCTCAGCTGTTTCTTTTTGCTGCCTGGGGCACGGGCCCCTTTGTCCAGGCTGAAATCCCTTGTTCAGGGGCACATTGTGGGGGTGCCAGGCTGTCAGTCCTTCCCAGGGCACTGCCTCAGAGCACTGGTCCTGTTATCTCAGGACCCCCAAACTCTGCCCACCCCCCTACCTATCTCAAGTCACTCTTGATACCCAGACAAGTGTTGCCAGCTACTCAGTATTAAACATTACTAGGTGGAAGGATCTTTTATAATTTTTTTTTTTGAGACAGGGTCTTGCTCTGTCATCTGAGCTAGAGTATAGTGGTGTGATCATAGCTCACAAAAGCCTTCACCTCCCAGGCTTGAACAATCCTCCCACCTCAGCCTCCCAAGTATCTGGGACTATAGCAGTGCACAACCATGCTCAGCTAATTTTTCAATATTTTGTAGAGATGGGATCTTGCTCAGTTGCCCAGGCTGATCTTGAACTCCTGGCCTCAAGTGATCCTTCTACCTCGGCCTCCCAAAGTGCTGGCACTACAGGTGTGAGCCACTGTGCCTGGCCCCCTATTTTTTTTTTTTTAAATCCATGGTAGCGCTGAAGTTTTCATGGTTGTGGAGAAGCAGTTTTTGGGAGGCAAGGAGGATGAGTGGTTTGCCCAAGTGATTCAAAGCTCAGAAAGTTTAAGCCCTTGGCCCTGGGGCTCCTCTCACTTCTCTGAGCCCCTGCACGATGATGGATGGAGCCACCGTTGTCGTCTCATTGTGATCAGAGAGAGCGCCTTTACCCTTCACCCCTTCTCACTGTGTTTGTTCATCCTGCCCACCAAACCCAGAGCAGTTAATTTTGTTACATTCAGTGTTGTTTTCTTTTTAATTAGGCTATTACAATGAAAGACAGAATTACACTCATTTTCCTATTGCATCATTATTGTATAAAAGGAAATTCTAATAGTGGTTTAAAATACTTTTAGGGATTACTATATAATTCTCTTCTTCTGTACTTAACGTTTTAGCACTGGGAGGGAACTTAGGTATCCTGTTAATGTAACACTCTCATTTTAGAAACTAGAACATGGAGGCCAAGAAGGTATAAGTTCAAGAGAACTATTGTCCAACATGGTGACCATAGTTAATAACAATGTATTGTGTACTTGAAAATTGCTCAGAGAGTAGATATTAAGTGTTCTCACCACAAAAAAAAATATGTGTATTAGTCTGTTCTTCCACTGCTATAAAGAACTACTTGAGACTGGGTAATTTATGAAGAAAGGAGGTTTAATTGTCTCACAGTTCTGCAGGTTGTATAGGAAGCATGGCTGGGAGGCCTTGGGAAACTTACAGTCATGGCAGAAGGCAAAGGGGAAGCAAGCATGTCTTTCCACGGTGGAGCAGGAGACAGAGAGTGAAGGGGGAAATGCTACACTCTGTCAAACAACCAGACGTGAGAACTCATTCACTGTCACGAGAACAGCAAGGGGAAATCCTGCCCCATGACCGAATCCCCTTCCACCAGGTACCTCCCCCAACATTGGGAATTACAATTAGACATGAGATTTGGGTGGGGATACAGAGCCAAACCATATCAGTATGTATGGTAATGCTTATGTTAAATAGTTTGATTTAGTGTTCCACAATGTATACATATTTAAGAACATCATGGTGTACATCATAAATATATACAATTTGTCTTTGCCAGTTAAAAAAATGGAGGCCGAGATTCTTCATGGCAGGGTGGGGACGGAATTCCTGTCTGCACCCAATGACTTTCTTGATTATTGAGGCACATCAGATGAAAAGTTCTTCAGCTCCAACGATCATATTGGCTGTCCTGCTGAATTGTGTTAGTCTAAAGCTTGATTTCCTGGGAGGTGCTAATGTTCCCCCCCTCAGAGAGGAGAGGCTATGTGGCATTTGAGGACGGGCTCCTTATTTCCTTCTCAGGAATGGCCTTATGTGATGGCGAGAAGCAGTCTGGTTTTGGCTGGGTGTGGTGGGTCACACCTGTAATCCCAGCACTTTGGGAGGATGAGGTGGGAGGATCACTTGAGATCAGGAGTTAGAGACCAGCCTGGCCAACATGGTGAAATCCTGTCTCTACTAAAAATACAAAAATTAATCAGGCATGGTGGTGCATGCCTGTAATTCCAGCTACTCGGGAGGCTGAGGTGGGAGGATTGCTTTAACCTGGGAGGTGGAGGTTGTGGTGAGCCGAGATCACACCACTGCAATCCAAACCTGGTGACAGAGTAAGAATCCATTTCCAAAAAATAAAAAATAAAAAAAAAATAAAGAAGTAATCTGGTTTCGTCAGATGCCTCGTTTCTCTTGGTAGTATTTTTGTGTATGAGTTGCCCAAACAGTGTGTTTAGGTTAACTGAGGATAAGACATCTTTGGGGGCTCCTGGCCAGAAATCAACCCCAGCTTTTGCAGTGGAATTGGTTATGTGGTGGACTCAAGCATTCCTGACAGAAACAGGCGTGGTTGTGTCTAACTTGACTGGCCAAGATGAGACAGCCAGAGGTTCGGGCACTCTCTGGAGTCAGTAGTGAGGTAGGAAGTGGGACTGGTTGCTGGAGGCAGACTCCGACTCTGGACCAGATTGAAGGATAGCTGAAACAGGGAAGAGGCAAAAGCACCTTTCCATAAGACACGCCCACCTGTGCCATTGCCACGGCAACACCTGGAAGTTACCACCCCTTTCTAAGGCAATGACCCAACAACCCAGAAGTTACCCCTCTTTTTCTAAAAATTTCTGCATAATCTGCCCCTTAATTTGCATATAATTAAAAATGGGCATAAACATGAATGCAGAACTGCCCTTGAGTTGCTACTCTGGGCATACTGCCTGTGAGGTAGCCCTCTTCTGCAAGGAGCAGGACCTCTGCTGCTGCTGTACACTGCTGCTTCAATAAAAGTCGCTATCTAACACCACTGGCTAGCCCTTGAATTCTTTCCTGGGTGAAGCCAAGAACCCTCCTGGGCTAAGCCCCAGTTTTGGGGCTCACCTGTCCTGCATCAATAGGACATTAGCTTCATCTCTGGGAATGCCAAGGAACCAGGTGTTTAAGCCAGTGAATGTTTCCATTCCTGTCTTCTGGTGCTCCTTAAGAGACTTCCATGATAGGACATTTAGTTTTTTTATCTAGGCCCAGAATAATACCTGGAATCCATGTGCTAAGATTCCTTACTGGGAAGAGACAGACTTGGAAGGTGGCAGTGGGTTGGTGCTCTTCCCACTGTGTGCCATCTATCTGCTCCAAATAGGGATTAGGGGTCTCCTATTACAGGTAGGGAAGAAGGAAGGAAGGTAGCAGAGCAGAACAGTGTCCCTGGCATCAGATAGAACCGAGTTTGAGACCTAGTTCTCCTATTTCCTGGCTCTGTGGCCTTGGCAAGTTCCTTCTGCTTTGAGCTCAGCCTGCTCATCAGTAATGATAATAACATTAGTGACTATTAGTGATCACTTACTAGGTGCTGGGCACTATGCCATGTGCTTTGCATATCTGTTAATTAACTCTCACAACAATCCCTGGAAGTAAGTTCTTATACTTTTTCTTTTTTTTAAAGATAGGATCTTGCTCTGTCATCCAGGCTGGAGTTCAGTGGCACAATCATAGCTCACTGCAGCCTTGAAGTCCTGGGCTCAAGCAATCCTCCTGACTCAGCCTCCTGAGTAGCTGGGACTACAGGTGCATGCCACATGTCACCACATCTGGCTAATTTTTTTGTAAAGACAAGGGAGTCTCACTATATTGCTCAGGCTGGTCTCGAACTCCTGGCCTCAAGCAATCCTCTGATCTCAGCTTGCCAAAGTGCTGGGATTACAGGTGCGAACCACAACGCTTGGCCAATCCTTATAATTCTTATCTTACTGTATTAGCTTGCTGGGGCTGCCATAACAAAATACCACACACTGGGTGGCTTAAACAACAGAAATTTATTTTCTCAAAGTTCTGGAAGCTGGAAGTCCAAGGTCAAGGTGCCAGCAGGGTTGGTTTTTCCTGAGGCCTCTCTCCTTGGCTTGCAGATGGCCACCTTCTTCCTGCATCCTCACATAGTTGTCCTGTGCATGTGTACCCCTGGCATCTCTTCCTTTTCTTATAAGGACACTGGTCCTATTGTACTGATGTCATGACCTCCCCTTTCTCATGACCTCCTTTATCATCACTACTTAATGACCTTGTAAACCTTAATCACCTTAATTGCTGTAATCTTAATTATCTCTTTAAAGGCCCTATCTCCAAAAAATAATCACTTTCTAAAGTACTGGGTTGGGCAGGGGGTGGGCAGGTGCGGTGGCTCATGCCTGTAATCTCAGCACTTTGGGAGGCAGGCGGATCACCTGAGGCCAGGAGTTCAAGACGAGCCTGGCCAACATGGTGAAACCCTGTCTCTCCTGAAAATACAAAAATTAACCGGGCCTGGTGGTGCATGCCTGTAGTCCCAGCTGCTTTGGAGGCTGAGGCAGGAGAATTGTGTGAACCCAGGAGGTTGCTGTGAGCTGAGATCGTGCCACTGCACTCCAACCTGGGCGACAGAGCAAGACTTTGTCTCAAAAAAAAAAAAAAGTACTGGGGGTTAGGGCTTTTACATATGAATTTGCGGGGAGGGGACACAATTCAGTTCATAACATTTAACAGAAAGGAAAGCCAGGCTAGTGAGGTGCAGTACTTTGCCCAAGCCCACTCAGTAAGTGACAGAGCTGGGATTTAGATTTGGAGGCCATTTAAGTTTAAATTAATTAAAATTAAATACAATTTAAAATTCATTTTCTCAGGCATGCATCTCATGTGCTCAGTAGCCAATGTGGCTGTTGGGTACGGAGTTGGACACTGTAGATCTGGAACATTCTCATCATTGCAGAAAGTCCTGTTGGACAGCCCTGCTTCAGAGTCTATGCCCGTGGCCTCTATGAGCTCTGCTCTGGGGGTATGAAACTCAGGGAGCTGTTGTGAGGACTAAAGGAACTAATGTCTCCTAGGGGTCCGGTACACACAGACAGTTTGGGAAATGGTAACTGCTTGCGGTATTATTATTAAGCATCAAACAGAGAGGGACTTCTGAATAGCTGGAACAGTGGGGATTATAGACACCATTAAATTTCACCTTGTAAGACTCAACTTGGTCATTGCACGCAAAGAAACACATCACAGCTAGGCGTGTTTTGGATGAACAAACCTAGTCAAATATCTGGCGTTGTTTTTCTCAGTTAGCACTTTGGGACAGGAGGCAAATAGCATTATTATAGTTTACTGGATATTCCAAGTTCCTTCTGTTGACCAATCTCCGTGGATGTCAGTGACTAAATACATGAATACAAGGTCGTTCTGCAGTGGGCAGGTCTATACAAACCTACCCTCAAAAGTTAGAAGAAGCTGAGAGGCCAAAGAAAGAGGCTGGTAAATCAAGTTTCTTAGGAAGAAATACTTAACAGGGTCTTACAAACTGAAGCCATGTCTGTGTCTTGTGCAGTGGGAAGACCAGATGGTGGATCCCCACGCTATTATGACTGCCCAGTGGGTTCTTGCTGCCCACTGCCTAGATAGAGCCAACTTATCAAGACAGGGGAATTGCAATAAAGAGTTTAATACTCATAGAGGCAGTTAAATGGGAGACTGGAGTTTTATTGTTAACTTAAATCAGCTTCCCTGAATATTCAGAGGCTAGGGGTTTTAGGCCAGGCACGGTGGCTCATGCCTGTAATCCCAGCACTTTGGGAGGCCGAGGTGGGTGGATCATGAGGTCAGGAGTTCGAGACCAGCCTGATCAACATGGTGAAACCCCATCTCTACTAAAAAATAAAAATAAAAAAATTAGCCAGGCGTGGTGGCACGTGCCTGTAATCCCAGCTACTCAGGAGGCTGAGGCAGGAGAATCGCTTGAACTAGGGAGGCGGAGGTTGCAGTGAGCTGAGATTGCACCACTGCACTCCAGCCTGGGCAACAGAGTGAGATTCTGTCTCCAAAAAAAAAAAAAAAAGATAGTTTGGAAGATGAAGGGTAGGGAATGAGGAATGTTGATTGGTGGGTTTGGGGCTGAAATCATAGGGAGTTGAAGATGTCTTCTTGTACCACATCAGTTCCTGGGTGGGGGCCATAAGGCCAGATGAGCCAGTTTACTGGTCTGGGTGGGACCAACTGATCCATCAGAATTCAGTGGCTGAAAAATATCTCTAACACCAGTCCTAGGTCTTACAATAGTAACATTACCCACAGGAGCAACTGGGGAGGTTAGGAATCTTGTGGCCTCTGTCTGCGTGACTCCTGAGCTATAATTTCTAATCTTGTGGTTAATGTGTTGGTTTTACAGAGGTGGTTTGAGCTCTAAGCAAGGAGGGGGTTTCTTTTGGGGAAGGAGTCTTATCACCTTTGTTTTAAAGCTAAACTCCAAACTAAATTCCTCCCCAAATTTAGTTCAGCCTATTCCCAGGAGTGAAGAAGGGAAGCTTGGAGGTTAAAGGCAAGATGGAGTTGGTTAGGTCAGATCTCTTTCACCGTCATAATTTTCTCAGTGTTAGAATTTTTGCAAAGGCAGTTTCACTATTACTCCCAGACCCAGGACTTATATACCATAAGGAAAGGATGATTCAGAAGGGATGCTTAGGGCAATTGATGTAGAAAACATCAAGGTGGTTTGACCTGGGAGCAAGATTTATAGCAAGTACCTGCTCTTCCACAAGGAACAATAGATAAACTGGAAATTTTAGGGGACTTCTTGGAACTGGGGTTAATCAGAAGCCCATATGGTGGATTAGCGTCTGAGATGGAGCTGCGTTGGCTTCCACAAAGACGTATTTCATTTCTACTCTCAAGAAACTTAAAACCTAGAGCAAATGCACCATGGCATATGAGATAGTTTGGATGTGTGTTCCCACCCAAATCTCACATTGAAATGTAATCTCCAATGTTGGAGGTCGGGCCTGGTGGGCAGTGATTGGATCATGGAGGTGGATTTCCCATGAATGGTTTGGCACCATTCCCCTTGGTACTGTTCTCACAATAGTGCATGAGTTCTCATGAGATCTGGTTCTTTAAAAGTGTGTAGCACCTCCTGCCCTCATTCTCTTGCTCCTGCTTTCGCCATGTGATTTGTCTGTTCACCCTTTGCCTTCCACCATAATTGGAAGCTTCCTGAGGCCTCCCCAGAAGCAGATGTTGCCATGCTTCCTGTACAGCTTGCAGAACTGTGAGCCAATTAAGCATCTTTTCTTTATAAACTGCCCAGTCTCAAGTATTTATTTATAGCAATGTGAGAATGGACCAAAACACCATATCATACAATACTTTAATACTTTAGCAACCAGCAAAGTTATACAACTGTCAGTTCTTGTTCTCATTCTAGCTCTATCTTAGCATGGGTTACCTGCAGACTGATGGACTCTCCTTCAATAACCATTGAGATGTCAGTTGATTTATTGGTAGATCCAAAACTCTCTTCCTACAGACCAACATAGTCTTTGGAAATAGTCATGGGAATAGGCTTTGGAAATATGTCCAAAGCCAAGATGCTAGATTTCCCTAGAGTGCACATCACTCAGAAGATTAAGAAAGACTTAGAGGAGGTGGTGTTTGCCATGATGCTTGAGATATGGGAGTGTGTCTGCTAAGATACGGGGTAAAGATATTCCAGGTAAAGAGGAAGCATGAGTCAGTCCCTGTGTGTGTGTATGAAAGACACATTCCATAGCAGGATAACAGTTCAGTTAGCTGGAGTTTTCTTCCATGAAGACCCTGGTACAGGAATGGGTGGTGCATGTATGAGTGACACAAAAGAAGGTTCAGAGCTGTGTGTGGTGGCCCACACCTGTAATTCCAGCACTTTGGGAGGCCGAGGCAGGTGGATCACCTGAGGTCAGGAGTTCGAGACCAGCCTGGCCAACATGATGAAACCCTGTCTCTACTAAAAATACAAAATTAGCTGGGGGTGGTGGTGGGCACCTGTAATCCCAGATACTTGGTAGGCTGAGACAGGAGAATTGCTTGAGCCCGGGAGGCAGAGGTTGCAGTGAGCCAAGATTGCACCACTGCACTCCGGTGTGGGTGACAGAATGAGTCTCCGTGGAAAAAAAAAAAGGTTAAAAAACATGCCCAATACAAAGGGAATTGGGTGTATGATAAAGGAAGCACTACTCACCTATGAGAAAGTGGTAAGATGTTAAGGTAACTGGCCTTAACAATAAAATAAAGCTGAATTTCCATTTGATTTCTTACACTAAAAAATTCTAGACAAAACCATGAAAATCTCTGATAAAAGATGAAAACGTAAAAACAAAAACAAATGAAGTCCCAGAAGTGGAGAGCTTTCTAATGATGACATAAAACTCAAAGGAAAAAAATCACACAATTTAATGACTGGAATGTATAAACAAAGCACCAGGGGAGAATGCCTGCATCACTAGTTAAAAAGCCTGGATTATTTAATATGGAAAGAGCTTGTACAAATCTAGGTAAAAGGAAACCAACCTAGAGAAGTGGACAAAGGACACGGGCAGGTGGTTATCAGAAAGATAAGTGCAAATAGGCAGTGACTCTCTGAAAAGCATGCTAGACACAGATCTTAGAGGTAATGAAGAAAATGTAAAATTTTAGCTTTTCTTGTGTGAAATATGGCAAACATACCTAAAAGTCCAGAAGCACAAACGGACAGATTAGCAAATACTAAAAATGTGCTTAAAAGAACCACCTTACCCCACCTACTCAGCGACCACTGTCCAGTAATCACCATCTGATTGCTTTCACCAGAAAGTAGTTTGCTTGTTCTTGAACTTCATGTGAATGGAATCGTGCTGCCTGCACTCATTTGTATCTTGCTCCTTGTACTCAGTGTTAAGCCTGCAAAACTCATTCATGCTGTTCCATGTTATTGGTATTTGTTCCTTCTCTTTTGCTAGGTAGTATTCCATTGCATATCTTTGCCACAATTTATTTCTCTGTTCCTCTGTTGTTGAAACATTTGGGTCATTTCTAGTTTTTGGCTATTATGAATAGAGTTCCTATGAACATGTGAGTGCAAATTTTTAAAAATATTATATTAATTACCCAGTCTCAGGTATTCCTTCAGAGCAATACGAGAGAATTGCTGGGTAATTAATAAAGAAAAGAGGTTTAATTGGCTCCTGGTTCTGCAGGCTGTACAGGAAACATAGTAGCTTTTGCTTCTGGGGAGACCTCAGGAAGCTTCCAATCATGGCAGGAGGCAAAAGGGAGTGAGGTGTCTCACATGGTGGGAACAGGAGCAAGACAGGGGAGGTGCTAAACACTCTTAAATAACCAGATCTCTGAAGAACTCACTCACTATCACGAGAAGAGCACCAAGGGGATGGTGCTGAACTATTCATGAGAAACACTTCCGTGATCTAATCACCTCCCATCAGGCCCTACCTCCAACATTGGGGATTACAATTCGACATGAGATTTGGGTGGGGACACAGCCAAGCCATATCAGATATATATTTTCACTGGGTATACACCTTAGGAATGGGTCCTTATAAGAGGGAGGAAGTGGGGCTGGGAGGTGGGGTGGTCAAAGCCAGAGGTATAAGGAGGAGAAAGCAATGAGACCATGGAGACAGAGATTATAGCAATTGCAGCTGTAAGCTGAGGAATGCAGGTGGCCTTTAGAAGGTGGAAGAGGCAAAGAATGGATCTCCCCTAGAGCCTCTAGAAGGAAGCAGCTCTATTGATACCTTGCTTCACTGCAAATAGGCAGTGGATCTCTGAAAAGCACGCAAGACACAAATCTTAGAGGAAATGAAGGCCAAGGAAGCCCATTTCAGACTTCTGACCTCCAGAACTGTAATGGAATATATATATTTTTGTTGTTTTAAGCCACTAAGTTTCCGGTAATTTGTTACAGCAACCATAGGAAAGAATCAAATTCCAGCTTGGATCAAATTCCAGGCTCTTATAAGCTCTGCAGCCTTGAATCAGTTCTGCAACTGCCAAGTCCCTTTCCCCCTCTGTAAAATGTGAATCTATCAAGAGCATGTCAGAAGCATCAAATGTCAGTGTTCAGAAGTTGGCGTTTAATCAGTAGGTGTTGAATGATGTAGTTCTGTCTCTTTTTTTTCTGACATGAGCATTGTGTTTGCAGTAGAAAAACTGCTCAGTGAAGGAAGAGGCAGGGCATGGAGGAACAAGAATGGGATGAATTTTATCTTACTCATTTCCTGGAGGAATTTTGACAAAGCAGAGACGAAGGCGAGTCCTCATTCCTAATTCACCAGGAGGCTGTTAGCCCAGCAATTGGGCGTGACTGTTCCTGCCCAGTGTGCTGGGTGACAGCTGTGTCCCAGGAGCCCCACATCCCCAGAGCTCCAGGTATATTGTGGCTTCATTTATATTTTTATTTTTTGTAAATTTTTTCTTTTTTTCTTTTTTTTTTTTTTTTTTGAGACGGAGTCTTGCTCTGTCATCCAGGCTGGAGGCTGGAGTGGCACAATCTTGGCTTACTGCAACCTCCACCTCCTGGGTTCAAGTGATTCTCCTGCCTCAGCCTCTGGAGTACCTGGGATTCAGGTCCCCACCACCATGCCTGGATAATTTTTGTATTTTTAGTAGAGACAGGAGTTGAACTGTCTCTACCTGCATGTTGGCCAGGCTGGTCTTGAACTCCTGACCCCAGGTGATCCACCTGCCTCGGCCTCCCAAAGTGCCGGGATTACAGGCGCCCACCACCATGCCTGGATAATTTTTGTATTTTTAGTAGAGACAGGAGTTGAACTGTCTCTACCTGCATGTTGGCCAGGCTGGTCTCGAACTCCTGACCCCAGGTGATCCGCCTGCCTCGGCCTCCCAAAGTGCCGAGATTACAGGCATGAGCCACCACGCCCAGCCAATTTTTTGTAAATATTTTTCTAAGGTACTTTCGTTGTAGCATATCATGGCTTCAGGCCTCCTGGCACTGGGATTGTGGAGTGAGCTGCCATTTTCTTCCTCTTCCTCTCCGGGGCACAGAGACTGTCTGGATCGGGGAGGAAGAGAGGGGAGAGGAGAAACACGTGGGACTTTGGAGGTCTTTGAAAAGAGTTTGACACAGGTTGGGGCAATTGAAACCCCAGATCTCAGTCGCTGGAGCTGTTCTTTTCCTTTCTTTCTTTTTTAGAGACAGGGTCTTGCTCTGTTGACCAGGCTAGAGTGCAGTGGGTTGATCAGAGCTCACTGCAGCATTGAGCTCCTGACCTCAAGCAATCCTCCTGCCTCAGTCTCCCAAAGCACTGGGTTATAGGTGTAAGCCACTGCCCAGCCCAGGCCTGTTCTTCTCTGTTTACACTCACTTTCTAGGTTCTCTCTCTAGTGTCATGGTTTAAATACTAACTGTTTGCCAATGCCCAGTGATAGGGTTTGGCTCTGTGTTGCCACCCAAATCTCACCTTGAACTGTAATAATCCGCACGTGTCAAAGGCTGGACCAGGTGGAGATAATGGAATCATTGGGCCGGTTTTTCCCATGCTGTTCTCGTGAGAGTGAGTTCTCACGAGACCTGACGGTGTTTTTTTTTTTTTTTTTTTTTTTTTTTCGGAATCTTGCTCTGTTGCCAGGCTGGAGTGCAGTGGCGCGATCTCGGCTCACTGCAACCTCCGCCTCCTGAGTTCAAGTGATTCTCCTACCTTAACCTCCTGAGTAGCTGGGATTACAGGTGCACGCCACGACGCCCAGCTAATTTTTGTATTTTTAGTAGAGACAGGGTTTCACTATGTTGGCCAGGATGGTCTCGATCTCTTGACCTTGTGATCCGCCTGCCTTGGCCTTCCAAAGTGCTAGGATTACAGGCGTGAGCTGCTGCACCTGGCCTGACCTGATGGTTTTATAAGGGTCTTCCTCCTCTGGTCAGCGCTCATTCTCTCACCTGCCGCCGCCCTGTGAAGAGGTGCCTTCTGCCATGGTTGCAAGTTTCCCGAGACCTCCCCAGCTACGCAGAACTGTAAGTCAATTAAACTGCTTTTCTTTATAAATTACCCAATCTCAGATATGTCTTTATTAGCAGCATGAGAACAGACTAATACACCCAGTGTGGTAGACTGAATAATTACCTCCTCAAAATGTCCATGTCCTAATCCCCAGAACCTGTGAATATGTTACCTTATATGGCATAAAGGACTCTGCAGATATGATTAAGTTAAGAATTTTGCAGGGGGAGATTATGCTGGTGGGTTTGATGTAATCCCAAGGGTCCTTATACGAGGGAGACAAGACATAAGTGTCAGTAGTAGTAGATGTGATGAGGAAATTGAGAGGTTGGGGTGATGCCAGGAAGGGGTCGTAAACCAAGCAATGTGGGTGATTGCTCTGAGCCCCGCCAGGCTGGAATCAAGGTGACAGCTGGGCTGCCTTCCTTTCTGGAGGCTCTGGGGAGAATCCGCTTCCAGACTCACTCTTGTGGGTAGAATTCTGTTCCATGTGGTTGCAGGGCGGAGGGCCCTGTCTCCATGCTAGATGTTGGCTGGGGCTGTTCTTAGCTTCTGGAGGGTGCCATGTTTCCTGATCCATGGCTCCTTTCATCTTCAAACCAGTGACAGCAGCTCAGGTTTGTCTCCTGCCTCTTCTCCAGTGAATCTCTCTACCTTCAGCTGGGAAAGGGTCTCTGTTTCTAAGGACTCATGTGATTAGTAGGTTTGTGCAAAAGTAATTACAGTTTTTGCCATTGCTTTCAATTAGGATATGGACATCTTTGGGGGGCTATTCCTCTGCTCTCCTGTACCCCTTCTTGCCTCCCATGGGTTTAGTGGCATTTTCTCTCCTGCTGTCAGAAGGAATTGAGCTTCAAGTTCATAGTGGTCACCGGCTGGCCACCCCATTCTTCCATTATCCTAGCCATCATCCTGGCCAAATCCTCCTTTCAAACGGAGTCTCACTCTATAACCCCAGGCTGGAGTGCAGTGGCGCCATCTTGGCTCACTGCAACCTCTGCCTCCCGGGTTCAAGCAATTCTTGTGCCTCAGCCTCCCAGGTAGCTGGCATTACAGGAATGCCACTATGCCTGACTAATTTTTTTTTGTATTTTTAGTAGAGACGGGGTTTCACCATGTTGCCCAGGCTGGTCTTGAACTCCTGGCCTCAGGTGATCCACCCGCCTAAGCCTCCCAAAGTGCTGGGATTACAGGCATGAGCCACTGTGCCTTTTTTTGTTTTTCTGAATAGCAAATAGTTTATTGGTAAGTACATGGTTTTAATGGGAGTAATAAATGAATAGGAGACAATAATCAAGTCAAAAGAATAAATGCTTACCAATCATCAGAAAATCTGTGGCCATTAGAGCTGGCACGTAAAAACTCAAAATCACTCAGAGGCCAAATCTTAAAGAAGATTCGTCCTCTTATTAGTCGATATGGAATAGGTCCATAGTACCTGGAATCTGTAGAATTCTGTAGATTATCACCTTCTAACCAAACATGACCCACTGGCACATAACTACGGCTTTTAAAGAAATCTGATGGACTAGTGGCGAGGATTTTGTCTCCTTCCAATTACTTTTTTACAAATATTTGATTTTGGATCACTTGGGCTTTTTGCAATCACAATGTCACCTCTTTGAATACCGTACAAATGTACACCAAGATTTTCTGCAAAGACAGTATCTGAATTTTGAATGGTAGGCTCCGTTGGTGGTCCAGAACACATAACAACACCACCAATGTATTCAAAAGCACAATATAGCCATACTGAATAGCATAGCCAACAAGTCGAAAGCCTTTCCCCAGAACATCACAAAGCATAGTTCTAGGTAGACTCTGCCACCTTCGGCCTTGGGCCCTAAAGAACCCTGAAGACCCTCAACCAGGACACAGGTATGCCAAGGCCTTTTTATCTTGCTCTTTCAACTTTGGGATCTTTTCCCTTCTGGCCAGGGCTTCAGTTAAGCCCTTTGTGAGCCTTTTTCTCCTGGCTGAGCCTTGGCAAAGGATCTTATTTTGTAACCACCCCTGCCCCAAAGCTGAGCTTTTCCCCTTTTCCTGCCAATAACTCCCTGCCCTGCCAATTGGAGCCCCACATCCTCATTCCCTCAGGAACATGACGAGTTTCCCTCTGCAATTCCTAGCCTGGCCCTACAACCAAGGGACGCTGGCTTGGATACGGCACCTCTTTGAGGAACTCCATCCAAGATGAGCATGTGGGACACTGTTGCTTGGATGGGACCCTCCTGGTTGGGCTGAGTTGCTGGGATCCTCATATCCTGCTCTCCTTACCAGATTCTTCCCTCCAGGTCTACACAACACTCCAGTGCACCCAGCCCAACTCACATAGGGCAGTACCAGGCAAAGGAGAGCTTCCTTCCTCACCTTTCCCCTGTCTGAGGTTTATCCCAGGCACTGGTGCCAGTGAATGGAACCGAGGAGTGATAGCATCTTACCTGCTGCAATCTGACCAAGCTCAGCTGGAGGAGCCTCGGGTCAGAGCAGCCGAAGCCCTCCAGCATGCAGGCTCCTTTTATCCACAACCTCTCCCCACTGGTGACCTTGTTCGTGGTCGGTCACTCAAACTCTTCCTAAACTGCCCCCTGGGCCATTGGCCACTCACCATGAGCGTTCCTGCGTCTAATCATTGCTTCCTTCCTTTGATGTAAGTGGGGATCTTGTTGCTAGGGTAACCGGGGTCGAACTATAGGTCTGGGGTCTTGACCTTGAACTCTGCTTAACTGGATTCTTCTTAGGTTCTTGGCTCGTTTCCCTTTTGTGGTTAGGAGAATGCACACCCTTCCACATTTCTGTCCTGGTTTCTCCATATTTTGTTCTCTTTCTTTGAAGTCTGTCTGGCCTATACATTTTCTCTGGAATTTGCTAACTCAATTGTTTTGTTTCTCGTAGCCAATGTTGGTGTCAAATTTAAAAAATTGATTTGGCAAGAACACATAATGGATTGTGCTGTGTGCTCTGTACTGTCTCATGCCTGGAGGCACACCATGTTTGGCTGTCCCTTCTGCTAACACTGAGATTAAACTGTGGATTTGGTACCAGGAATGGTGGCTCATGCCTGTAATACCAGCACTTTGGGAGGCTGAGGTGAGAGGATTGCATGAGATCAGGAGTTTGAGACCAGTCTGGCAACATGGTGAAACCCCGTTTCTACTAACAAATTTTAATAATTAGCTAGGCGTCGTGGTGTGCTGTTGTGGTCCCAGCTACATAGGAGGCTGAGGTGGGAGGATCATTTGAGTCTGGGAGATTGAGGCTGCATTGAGCTGTGATTGTGCCACTGTACTCCAGCCTGGGTAACAGAGTGAGACCCTGTCTCAAAATTAAAAATAAAAAAATAAAAATAAACCCTGTGGATTTGGGAGGTGACATCCCCCCACCCCATTATAGCCTTCCCCATCATTTCATCTAATGGTTTCACCCATTGATAATCTCTGCCTAAATCATTTATTTTATTGTAGGTTGCAAAATTAAAGCCATCCTCATAGGGTTAACGTGAATTCTGGACAGAAATATTGTTGTAATTAAGCATTAATCATGCTGCACTTTGGTCCACTTCCTTGTAACTGAATGGCAGGAGCACTAGATACTGACCATTTACATCCCCATTGTTCCTATAGGATCTCTGACATTAGAATCATAAGGCTTTTGGCCAGGCACGGTGGCTCACACCTGTAATTCTAGCACTTTGGGAAGCCGATGCAGGCAGATCACCTGAGCTCAGGAGTTCAAGACCAGCCTGAGTAACATGGTGAAACCCAGTCTCTACAAAAAAATACAAAAATTAGGTGGGTGTGGTGGTGTGTGCTTGTAGTCCCAGCAACTCAGGAGGCTGAGGTAGGAGGATCAGTTGAGCCTGGGAGATGGAGTTTGCAGTGAGCCGAGATCACACTGCTGCACTCCAGCCTGGGTGACACAGCTAGACCCCTGCCTCAAAAAAACAAACAAACAAACAAACAAAAAAAAACATAAGGCTTCTGTTTAAGAATTGCTTAAGATGTTCTTCTGATCCTGAGTTCCAGCAGAACAGCTGATGGCAACCAGTTTGAAGACCCCAACAGAGGCACTGAGTCGGCAGTACTATGAGAACACAGTTTCTTCCTCTCCCTGTCCCATGACTTCACGCTGCACTCTTCAACCAATCAACGATCTCCACACTTTGGCCCACTCCCAAACCCTTAAAAACCCTAGCCCCCAACTCTTCAGGGAGGCAGATTTGAGGTTTCCTCCTATCTCTGCATTTGGCAGCCCTACAATGAAACCTCTTTGTCTGCTGCAACCTGGTGTCTCAGCCTATTGACTTGCTGTGTGCATAGGGCAAGAAACCTATTACGGTTACAAAATGATGATGTTTCTAATTTGTCATCTTTTAAACATTTATTAAATGGAATTCTTCCGTAAAAAAAATAATAAAATTTCCTCGTCAGTTATGGCTGCTCTTTTAATCCTGAAATACAGTTTGTATAAGAAAGGCCGGGTTTAATTATTGCCTATTCAGGGCCATTTGTTGCCAATTTTCTTAGAAAGAATTGGTGCCCTAGCTACTTCCAGTAGTGACCCATGACTGCATGTTTCTTGATTACTGTGAACATTTTATTCTCTTTGCTCTTAATGAGTTTAAATGTCTACTGAGTGCTGAGAAGACATTGATGAGAAAAACTGAAATGGTCCTGTTCTGCATTTGTATGGCTTTGAGCAGCTCACCTTTTTCTTTATGGTCTTTCTCATCATATACATCTCACTTGGCACGTGTGGTAAACTGCCCTTCATTTTTCTTTTCTTTTCTTTTCTTTTTTTTTTTTTTTGAGACGGAGCCTCACTTTGTTGCCCAGGCTGGAGTACAGTGGCGCGATCTCGGCTCACTGCAACCTCCGCCTCCCAGGCTTAAGTAATTCTCCTGTCTCAGCCTCCTGGGTAGCTGGGATTGCAGGCATCTGCAACCATGCCCAGCTAATTTTTTGTAGTTTTAGTAGAGGTGGAGTTTCATCATGTTGTCCAGGCTGGTCTCAAACTCTTAATCTCTAGTGATCTGTCTGCCTCGGCCTCCCAAAGTGCTGGGATTACTGGTGTGAGCCATCAAGCCTGGCCCTTCATTTTTCTTTAAGGGATTTAGGGCTATGTGTTCCAGTTCCTCCAGCCAAGCCCTGTGAGGATGGGGACAGCGTCTCACAGTTTCTGCTTCCGTGTTTCCTGCCTATGTATCTAGTGCAAGTTTGGGCATCCAGAAGGCCCTGGTAACTAGTTGTAGACTGAGTAGATGTGTACTTAAAGTGGTCATTCTTTCATTAAATGTTTTTTATCATTTAAAAAACTTTTTAAAAATTATTTTTGCCTTTTCTTCTCATGCTTGTTTCCTGTATTCTTCCATTTTTCAACATCTTCATATATATTTCTTTTGCCTGCATCCTGGACAAGAGTAGTGGTGCATTCCAACACCTAATCTGTGACACCAGCTGACTGTCCTGCAATTTAAGTCAAGTCTGGCACTGACTACCTGGAATGTGTGTAGATCCCACAATTTAAAGAGCAAGGTCCTCACCAAGTCCACCCTTCTTTCAGACTCCAGCCATACATGGGGTCCCCAGGCTACCCACACCTCTGTCCGACTTGGTTACAAACTTGGGAGTTTCCATGACTTTCCTTCAGTTTTGATAATTTGCAGAATGACTCATAGAACTCAGGAAAATGCTCTACTTACAATCACCATTTTATTATAAAGAATACAAATGAAGAGCCAGACAAAGAGTATGTAGGGTGGCAAGCACTGGAAGGGCCCAGAGCTCAGGAGCCTTTGTCCCTGTGGAATCAAGATGCGCTACCTTCCTAGTACATTGGAATGTCTGCCAATCAGGAAGCTCCCCAAGCCTCACTGTCCAGAGTTTTTATTGGGGTTTCTTTACATAGGCAGCATTGCTTAAATCACTGGCCATGTTAAAATTGAACTCAATTTCCAGCCCCATCACCTCCTTGGAGATTGGGGGTGGGATGGGGCTGAAAATTCCAATGCTTTAACCACATGCTTGGTCTTTCTGGCTTGGCCAACTCCTTCCTTGAAACTAAGGGCCCACCATGGGTAACCTTGTTAGCATAAACCCAGGCATGGGTGAAAAGGGCTTGTTATGAATACAAAAGACACTCCTATCAGGAAACTCTAGAATTTTTGAAGCTGTGTGCTAGGAACTAGGCACAAAATCCAGATACATTCTTTATTGTATCACAACTGGTATATGCAACAGTGATAAAAGTTTAAGTGAGGGTATGTGAGGTTAAAGCACCTAGACCTTCAAGTATCTTTAAGGCTAAAGCCCAAGGAAAAAGTCTTTTGATTTGGCAAGAGGATACTCCTGGGTGGGGGGGAGAAAGGCAGGCTCAGAAGGAAAAGACAACAGCCTCATATAAATATGACAACAGTTATAATCTGAGCCTTTGGAGAGCTTGAAGTTCTAATGAAAGGGTTGGCTGGCTGCTGGCATAGAGGATGTCTGTGTCAGCAGGGGCAGAAAGGGTTTTGTATACAGAGGAAACAGACAGGACGTGGATGAGTTGGAAGCACCGAGAGCAAGATCACAGAGTTATGAGAACCAAGGGGAAAGTAAAGAGCTTTGCTTTGAAGACACAGAGGATTCCTTTTTTAGACTGGAAGGAAAAAGGAGGAGCTAATTGGAAAAATACAAGAAAAAAAATACAAGTTGACAGAAATAAGATGCACATAAAGTGGATGACAGCAACTATTTTTAAAGGCAGGCTGCCTGCAGAGAGGGAGTTCAGCAAGGCAAGACTTTATGAAAGGGTTTGCAGTCTTGATTGATTTCAAGAAGTCCAAGAAGCAAGGGAAGGAGGAATAGGGACCATCAAGGGAAGAATGGATGTGAGTGACTCTTTCTCACGGTGAGCCGAGTCTTTAAAAGCGATTGCCAGATGATCTCTAGAAGTTTCTTTTAGAATTATTATTCAGGATTCTATGGCTTCTGGATGAGAACATCTCATTGACAATAGGATGGATCCTAGCTCCACAACTTCCTGGTGTCTGCATTGTCTAAAAAGAAAAACATACGTGGGAGAGCAATGTCTCCTAATAGTTACAATCATTGCTTAAAAGAGTTAGGGGAAAAAAGGGGGGACCTGTATCTGGGAAGGTAACTATTGCCAGAGACAATTTTTTGGTATTTATTTATAATGCATATCTTAATAATTAGAGCTAACCCCACGGTTGGCTTGGCCACCTCTTCCCTACATTCCCCCCAGGGTTGGGGTGTAGGGTTCCTCTAGTGCAAGGGTTCTCACCTAGGGCAGAAGACACATGATAAAGTCTCAAGACACTTTTAATTGTCACAACTGGGTGGCATCTACTGGGTACAGGCCAGAGATGCTGCTCAACATCCTACAATGCACAAGAGAGCCTCCAAACAAAGAACTGTCTAGCCCCAAATGTGAGTAAGTATCAAAGTTGAGAAATCCTGCTTTAAAGAAAGAACCTGGTGGAGAGAACCAAGTATATCTGGAGGGAGGATATCCTGGTGGAATATATCAGGTATATCTTGGTAGGTAGGGAGGGCTTTGGAGAGGTGTGGCAGACATCCTTGGGTGGCCAGTGCAACCCACGTCCACAGTCATCTTTGTAGCCACCTTCAAGTTACAGGTAGCCACATGACATTTCTGAGCAATGAAATGGAAGAAAATTTGCGGATGAAACTTCTAATAAAATCACTGTGTTCTTGACCTTTGGGTATCTTTTCCTTCTTCCTGCTTGGATTGCAAACCTGCCATCTGGAGGCACCGTGGCCGCTTTCAGGGCCATAAGTACTCAAATTAACAGCTAAAGAGGGTGGAGCCAAAAGCCAAAGGCAGAAAGATCTGTGAACCCAGGGGAACGTTTGACAATGTCTGAAGACTTTTGGTTGTCACTGGGAGAGGAGGGCTAGTGGCATCTACTGGGTAGAGACTAGGGATGCTGCGCAGCACCCTACAGTGCATGAATCTGGGGTTACCTGCCTGAGGATCACTTGTAGTGGGGGCTTAGGGGGCTGACCAGCTGTTTAAGCTCCTGTGAGCTGGGTTTCCTTTATTTGTGTCTGAGTTAATTTCAGGTTGCTACAGTAGGAGAAGTTCTTTGATTCAAGCCTGTTACAGGGCTATTTCCAGACAACGCCTCCTTTAGATGACTTTTACCGGCACTTTCCAAGGTGGTATTGGGTTTCCAGTCCCATCCTTGAAGCAGGGAGAGGATAACCATTCCTTTGCTTCTTTTGCCAGAAGATGCCAACACCAACGGTCCCCTCCACCCACGTCACCTGTGGGTTCGGCTGGGTCCAAGATCACAGGCCTGAATGAGAGGTTAGAAGGCATTAGGAGATTCCAAATCCCAGTGACTTCAGAATTTGGGGTCCATCCTATAATACTTTCAGCAATAAGACAATGTGTTCTTACAGCTTAGATGTCAGCAACTCAAATTTACTAGTAGGGTTCAAAGTAACTTTCTAGAGGCCGCGTGCAGTGGCTCATGCCTGTAATCCCAGCACTTTGGGAGGCTGAAGTGGGAGGATCACTTGAGGGCCAGGAGTTCGAGAACATCCTGGCCAACATGCAGAAACCCCATCTCTACTAAAAATACAAAAATTAGCTGGGCGTGGTGGTGCGCACCTGTAGTCCCAGCTACTTCGGAGGCTGAGGCAGGAGAACCAGCTTGAACCCGGGAGGCAGAGGTTGCAGTGAGCTGAGATTGTGCCACTGCACTCCAGCCTGGGTGACAGAGTGAGGCTCTGTCTCAAAAACAAAAACAAAAGCCAAAACCAAAGCAACTTCCTAGAATTAAATTGTATTTGCCAAAAGCGTTTTGAAAGCTGTTAATTGCTATACTCATGAAGGCATAATGAAGGCATAGTCTAAATATCTCCTCCTTGCTATGTCAGCTAAAATATGATACATAATTTAATCAAATACAATGTTGCCAAGAACCCAGGGTAGGCAACCCACCGGGGGTCTCCTTCTCTCTTACTTCTCCTCTATTCTTTTTCAACGCTCCTTTATTTTCTCTCTTTCCTTTCCTCTGGTTTCCATTGTTTTTGTCCCTTGCTGGTGGCCCTAAGCAGATGGATATGATTTCTTACTATTCTTGAAGGTCTGAAAGAGTAGATAAACCCTAACCCAATAAAAACCCTGCAGGATAAATCGGCCCGTGAATGATAGCGTTAATTCTTAGGGACACACTTCCAACTCTAACACCTCTTAGATGAAAGCAGCTCAGGGACGTGGTATCTTGAACCTTCCTTCTCTATTTTTTCTGAACAGCATTTTCTCCTGCCCCTGCTAGGTTTTATCCCTGGAGACTGTGACAGGTTCTGTTGGCTAGCACTTTCCCCCGTCATGCAAGGAATGAATCGTGACCCCAGCAGAGGAAAATCCAGGTTGCTGAGACAGTGTTCAAGGGAATCAGGTTAAGAAAAGTACGGGGCTAGGGTGAAGGCACCTGGTTTTCTGCAACTGGCTCAGTAGAAACTTCCTCACGGTCTCATCTTCAAAGTTGTAATTGACCTTCCAGAAGATGCAGAGCTGCTGATATTGTGTGACCAGCTCCAGGACTGTCCGGAAACCTTCTGCAGTGTCAAAATCCGGCACTCCACTCCCCTGCTCCCAGGCATAGATGGTGAGCAGCTCCAAGGCATACTTTGGGGGCAAAGACCCCTTTGGCTTCAGTTTCCTTTCACACTAGGTAAGAGTGGGAACATCAGACGAACTGGTTAGCCTAGGAGCTCAGTGAGAGCCGCACAGGGACCACAGCAAGGCAACTGAGTCACAGTGTCGTGCTGGTGTGCTCACACTCTGCAGCTTGGATGTCTAAATTGTACAGCCTACAGGAGTCCACCTGGCAGCAGCACATTTGAGTTTCTTTGTTGTGCTTTTGACCATATATGCCTTCCTAGGACAATAACATAGCTACAGTTTACTAGAAACCCACTGCATGCCAGCTATGGGCCCAGGCATTTACCCACATCATTCCTAATCTTCCCCACAATGCAGGCAGCATGACCTGCATTTTAGATGAAGACTTTGAAGCTGCGGGAAGTGGAGTGACTCACTCAAGGTCACGCCACAGCCCCAAGTCTTCTGACACGCCATGCCAGCTCTCTGATTTTCTGGGATGAAAACTACAGAGTTTGGTCTTGGTTTCACATTTCAGGGAGCTGGACACAGAAAGGAGGCATCTCAGGAAGAGCTGATATCGTGCTTGATGTTTACTGTCATGAGGATGTTCAGAAGCTACTTTGTGTGCAAGTGAGGGGAAACTGGGTAGAGACTAGGGATGCTGCTCAGCACCCTACAGTGCATGAATCTGGGGTTACCTGCCTGAGGATCACTTGTAGTAGGGGCTCAGGGGCTGACCAGTTGTTCAAGCTCCTGTGAGCTGGGTGTATAGAAAATGCAGCCCCGGTTCCACCTACAGCTTCAACCTGCCTTCTGAGAGAGAGCATGTGCGCCGGGAAGCAGAAAAGTCCTATTGGCAATGTGTGGGCATGTGAATCCCAGCTTCCACCCACCCTCTGTAGGCAAGGTCACTTGGATTCCTGCAGAATTCTTTGGCCAGTGTGAGGGCAAAGTAAACCACATGTAGCAGCTTTGATGGGCAGAAGCCATCAACGCCTGACCCAAATGAATAGGGTTAGTGATGGGAACGTCGTAAAGATATCCAGTGGGCAGATTCTCCAAAGTGGCTCAGCCCTCAGCATGGGAGATTGTGGGCAACAGGGCTTAATGTTCATGGCTTACTGGTAAAAATAATAACCCCATGGTCAGAACAAAGACTGTCCTTACCTCTTTGTACCAGTGCTTCACCAGGCGAATTAAATCCTTTAGTTTGGTGGGCCGGGAGCGAATGAAGTTTCGCTGCAGGACTGTGAAACAGGTAGAAAACTCTCCTCCCGGGAGGTCCGAGGATTTATACAGATCAATGAGCCCTGCATAAACCTCGGGGCTGGGTGTGGAGCCAGAACTCAGCTGACCTGGCATGAGGGAGAGATTGACATCCTGCTTTAATACACATAGTAAGTAACAGATTCCAAAACATTTTTGACAAATATGATTTAATTCTTGGAAATTACTGTGAATAGTATTAGCATATTTAAAAGACTGATGTCTAAGACACAGGGAGCATCTCCAGAATAATGAGATATGTAAAAATTATGTGGTCTACACAGGTGCAGCTGGTATTATTAAAGTATTATCTAGACTTAAACTAACAGAGCAGCCACCAGCAATGTGGCCATTTGCACTCACATTCATTAAAGGGAATGAAAATTAAAAATTTAGTTCCTCAGTTGCTGTAGCCACATGTCAAGCTCTCAGTAGTTGTAGAACCCAGACATAGAACATTTTCATGATCACAGAAAGATCTCTGGGACGACACTGATCTGGACTTTGTGAACTACCGCCCCCTGGGCTAAATCTGGTGCGCTGCTTCTTGTTTTTTTTTTTTTTTTTTTTTTTTTTTTTTTTTGTTGTTGTTGTTGTTTTTTGCTTTTTTGAGACAGAGTTTTGCTCTGTTGCCCCAGACTGGAGTGCAGTGGCATGATCACAGCTCACTGCAGCCTCCATCTCCTGGGCTCAAGCAATCCTCCCACCTCAGCCTCCTGGGTATCTGGGACTACAGGCGTGTGCCACCATGCCTGGCTAACTTTGTTTATTATTTATTTATTTATTTATTTATTTATTTTTGGGATGAAGTCTCACTATGTTGCCCAGGCTGGTCTCGAACTCCTGGATCAAGCAATCTTCCCGCCTCGGCCTCCCAAGATACTGGGATTACAGGTGTGAGCCTCTATGCCCAGCCCAACTGCTTGTTTTGTTTGTGTGTTTGTTTGTTTGTTTTCAGACGGAGTCTCACTCTGTTACCCAGGCTGGAGTGCAGTGGCACGATCTCGCACTGCAACCTCCACCTCCCGGGTTCAAGCAATTCTCCTGCCTCAGTCTCCCTGATTACTGGGATTATAGGCACACAGCCCCATGCTTGGAAAAGAGAAATGGGACCAAAATTGTCTACAAGTGTGAAGTATTACTGCCATGACTAATGCCACTTGCTGGGGCCAGGGACCCATGAGTGGCACATGTTTTCAGAGCCCGTAATCAAGTCACGTGGCTCTCCCTCCACCTTCTGTCCACCATCACTTCCAAGCTAAGGTCTGGGGAGCCTTACCCAGTGCATTAAAGGCAGGAAGCACATCAAAGCTGACACTTTCGTTGAGGACTTTGGATTTCAGAGAGAAGCTCAGCACCCTGGGAGCCTTCCACTTGGGAGGCTCAAAGCTGACTTCAAGCTCCTCCTCCTTCTCCCTCCAAAAGGCTTTCAGCTGTTCATGGATTTCCTTGACGATTTTGTGCCGCTCGTTTTTTTGGGAGGTGTAGCTTTTAAGTGAGTTATGGAACACGACGAGATCGGCATCAGAGCCAGTCTTCAGAGCTGTGCCTTTGGCGGTTGATCCTCCCTAAGGAAGAAAGGAAGGTTGAGATCCAGAATTTCCTTAACCGAGGAGTCCCGTGCCCCCGTGGGCTGGCACCAGTTGGGCTAACTGACACTGTTTCCAAGGCCAAGTTCTGCGTTAGGGTTCAGTGAGGGCTGAGTCCAAAGCAAAGGGTTTTCTTTTACAAACTAATAGATAATGCAGTTATTAAACAATACAGTTCCCAAGGCAATTATTCTCCTGCCTTTTATACATGAACAACTGATGGGCTAGTTACAAGTTACCTGCTTCTCAGGTCAATTTCCTAAAGATTTTCCTAAAGACATATTTAGCTTTATTTGGATTCCTGTAACCAAATAAATCGAGCGGAATGCAATAATTATGGTGAAGGTGCTCATCTGTTCTTTGATGTGTGTTTTCTCCTGCAGGTCTGGCGATCATTGGGTGAATATCCATAATTGAGGTACAGGGTTGGTAAACTTTCTGCAAAAGGGCCAGATAGTAGGTATTTTAGGCTTTGTGGGCTATTTATGTCTCTGCCATTAAGGCTTCTCCCTTCCCTCCCTCCTCCTCTTCCTCCTCTTTCTCCTCCATTTAGTTTCTGTAGAGAAAAATGTTTTATTTTATCCATGGGTATTAAATGCCTGATTACATGGGTTAAGGAGGTGAGGAAAGGGTATGTTCTATTTCCTGTATGCAGATCCTCAATTCATCCCTGTTCCAGCCCCCTTCATTCATGCAGGCCACCTTTGTCTTTAAGAGGTGGGCTTCGGCGGCTCCTCTCAGACTGTAGCCCCTTCCTTACAATCTCTAGGTGTCACCTTCCTCTGGCCTAAGCAGAGAAACCTTCAACCAACTTCAGGAAGATGGAAAGCAATGTCTTATCTGCCGATGGCTCTCTTTTCTTCTTTGATGTGTCATATACCTTTTATTTTTCACTGACTATCATGTGAATGGGGTTTCAGGAAGGAGAGGAGAAAGCACATGCTTTGACAATTCTAACACTGATCAGAAACTCAGTCCTGTTTTCACTCCAGTGACCTTCAATGAGACAGTTCACTCATTGCCCTGGGGCTATTGGTGCCATTTCCCAGGCCCCTCTTCTCTAGTTGCACAGATTTGTTCTGGCATCAACGCAGAAATTTACGCGTACATAATAACATTTTCCTCCTTCCCTTCTTGTGACCACGGGGACACGTTTATCTGGTCGTGTGACCAGTAAACAGAGAGAAACATGTCAGCCCCGTGGCCTTTGAGCCACGGACAAGAATGACAAAAGCCTCTAAATCTCTAGCTCAGCTGATGGGGCAAGCCGGGCTCCAGTCACTCAAAGGAGAAGGAGATTCTAAGCTCCTTAGAATCTGCAGTGGGTTCAATGGTGGACCCCTAAAAATACATGCTCTGGGGGCCTGTGGATGTGCCCTTATTTGGAAAAAGGGTCTTCGCAGATGTAACTGAGTTAAGGACCTGGAGATGAGATCATTCTGGATCAGGCTGGGCCCTAAATCCTATGACAAGTGTTCTTAGAAAAGAAGAGAAGGGGGAGGACACAGAAGAAAAGGTGATGACAGAGGCAGAGACGGGAGTGATGTGTCTCCAGGCCCAAGAGCCCCAAGGACGGCCAACAGCTCCAAGAAAAACAATACAGAATCAAAGTTGTGTTGTTAATGACCTAGGCAGTCTATCCACAACCCCCCTGAAAACTAGTGTCCTAGTTCCCTTAACTCCTGGCTTCCCTTCCTCAAGTTTCTGAAGGTAGATGGATCCTGGAGAGCTACAATGCCCACTTACCTCCCTTCCAGGAATGCCCAATATTACATCATTCCAACAAGACATGAGAAAGGCCAGTGCTCACCCGGACAATCTGGATCTTGGCTGTTGATTGTCGGAAGCAGTTTTCTTTAAGGAATGTACGGATGATGTTAACAGCACTGTCAATCTGCTCTAGGAAGCATTTGTTGGGCTGGAGAAACTCCTTGATGAACTTATCCAGAAGGTGGCCTGGGGTCGTGAAGAGTGGTGCAGGCTGGGGAAGGAAGGAAGACCCCAAGTGTGAGTGGCACCTGTAAGCCCACCCAAGGCTTCTTTTCCTGCCTGTACTGGGCCCCCTACCCTGCCTCTCCCAACTGCCCTCCTGCTCGTGGGCTGGCATCTTTTCCGTCTTTTGTCATTGCACAAATACATCCCAAGAACACACCTGAGAGTTTGGAGTGGCACACAAGACCCCCCACAGACACAAAAACTGTCCTAGTTGCCCCTCCTTCCCCCTAGGAGAGATCTGGATCCTTGTCCAGACAGATCTGTCGTGTTCCTAACTCCAAACTCCTTTTCCATGCCCAGTTGGAGCATCACTTCCTAATGACCTGTGGCTTTTTGCTTTACCTACACCTCTGGTCCTTCCCTGTCTTCCCATTTGCTGTAGGTATTGGAGATTGCTGATGACCACATCCATTCCTTTCTTAAGGTTGTATCAGCCTGCGTTAAACACGCCATGTGCGGGTGTGTTGGTTTCCAAAGGCTGCCATAACAAGTGACCACAACTAGGTGGCTTAAAACAACAGAAGTTTATTCTCTCCCAGTTCTGGAGGCCAACAGTTCAAAGTCCAGGTTTTGGCACAGCTGTGCTCCCTCTGAAGCACACGTGGTTAAGTCTCTAGAGATGGGAGGATTATTCTGCATTACCTGGTTTGGCCTGATGTTATCACAGGGGTCTTTTTCCTCTTAATTTTAATTTTTAATTGAATTAATTAATACATTTTTCTCCACTTTTACTTTAGGTTCAAGGAGGTACATGTGTGGGGTTTTACATGGGTAAATTGCATGTCGCTGAGGCTTGGTGTATGAATGATCCCATCACCTAGGTAGTGAGCATAGAACCCAACAGGTAGCCTTCCAACCCATGATTCTAACCCATGTTTTTTCAGAAATAGTGTCTCGCTCTGTCACCCAAGCTGGGGGGCAGTGGTGCCATTATAGCTCACTGCAGTCTCCAATTCCTGGGCTCAAGGGATCCTCCAGCCTCAGTCTCCTGAGTAGCTGGGACTACAGGTTTGTGCCACCACGCCTAGCTTTTTTTTTTTTTTTTTTTTTTTTTGTAGAGATGGGAGTCTCACTAGGTTCCCCAGGCTGGTCTCAAACTCTTGGTCTTAAGCAATCCTCCCACCTCAGCCTCTCAAAGTGCTGTAATTACAGGCGTGAGCCACTGTGCTTATAAGGACAAGGGTACTTATAAGATGGAGGCAGGAGGGTTAGAGTTGGAGTGTGGTGGTGTTGGAGTTAGAGTTAGGTGGTGTGATGTTGGAAGTAGAGAGAGAGGCTGGAAGATGCTATGCTATTGGCTTTGAAGATGGAGGAAGGGGCCATGAGCCAAGAAATTTGGACAACCTCAAGGAGCTTGAAAAGGTGAGGAAGCATATATATGTATATATATATATGTGTATATATATATGTGTATAGATGTGTATATATATGTGTATATATGTGTATATATGTATATATGTGTATATATGTATATATGTGTATATATATGTGCATATATGTGTATATATGTATATATGTGTATATATATGTGTATATGTGTGTGTGTATATATATGTATATATATATTTTTTGGTTGGTGCAAAAGTAATTTTGAGACAGGGTCTTGTTCTGTCACCCAGGCTGAATGCAGTGGCACAATCATGGCTCACTGCAACCTTGATCTCCCTTGCTCAAGTGATCGTCCTGCCTCAGCCTCCCAACTAGCTGGGACTACAGCTAATTTATTTATTTATTTTTGTAGAGACGGGGTATTGTTATGTTGCTCAGGCTGGTCTCAAACTCCTGTTCTCAAGTGATCCTCCCGCCTCAGCCTCCCAAAGTGTTGGGATTACAGGTGTGAGCCACTGTGCCTGGCTCAAATTCATGTGTTTTAAGCCACTAAGTTTAGGGCATTTTTTTAAAACAGCAGTAAGAGGCAAGTAATTACTGTTCTATACAAATATTGTACTTTTGCTGGCAACACAGACAAGATGGGCTAGCTCACCTGGAGGTGGGGAAGGGCACTCAGCTTGAAAGTTGAAGGCCAACCTTGGTTGTTCTCAGATGTTGTAAGTTGGCCTTATAGTTGCTGAGGACGGTGCCTATTGAAGGAATATTCATTGCCAACACTGCCCCTTCCACAGGGCAGAATATTTGTGGTGTGTGAGTGCATATGTGTGCGTGGTATGAGTGCATGTGTGTGCATGTGTGTGAGTGCATGTGTGTGCATGGTGTGCATGCATGTGTGTGCATGAGTGCATGTGTGCATGTGTGTGAGTGCATGTGTGTGCATGGTGTGAGTACGTGTGTGCATGTGTGTGAGTGCATGTATGCATGTGTGTATGCATGTATGTGTGTGCGTGTGTGCGTGTGTGCATGGTGTGAGTACATGTGTGTGCATGTGTGAGTGTGTGTGTGCATGTTTGTGTATGCATGTACGTGTGTGTGTGTGTGTGTATGTGTGCATGAGCCCCCAATGTTTGGACCGCCTTATGCAGTGGTTCCTGGGCCTAAATTTTCTTCAACAACTGCAGAGACAGGGATGGTCTCACAGTTCTCAAAATAGAAGTTGATGGGATAGCAGAACAAAAACAGCCACAGTGAGTATCAAAAGATGGTTTAGGAGATGTTTGGAACTAAATGCCACATGTGCTTCTGGGTTGGAAAAGAATGTCCTATAAAGGCCCTTCTTGGAATGACTGTCGAAATCATCCCAATGGGCTGTATTGGGACAATAATATATGACTCCTAGTCTCCTGAATTTGATCATGGCATGGAGGTTATTGAAGAGAATATTCTTGTTCTCAGAGATCCCTATGAAAGCATTTAAGGGTAAAGAGATGTCTGGCAGTCTACTCTCAAAGGGCTCAGTATAAACAACAACTATAACAATGGGCCAGGTGAGGTGGCTCACGCTTGTAATCCCAGAGCTTTGGGAGGCCAGGTGGGAGGATCACTTGAGCCCAGGAGTTTGAGACCAGCCTGGCCAATGTAGCGAGTTATAGCCCCATCTCTTAAAAAAAGATTAAAAACAACTGTAACAACAACAATAATAACGTGTGCACACACAAACTGTAACATAGCAAATGTTGCACATGGGTACTGCATCTATGTGAGGGGATCATAGGAGTTTACTGAATCATTTTTCTAACTTTTTAAATGTTTCAAAGCTTCAGAATAAGATGTCAGGTCGGGGGGATAATTTTTTGAAAAAATCTGTCTGAAGAAGCCGGGAAAATTGGGGTCAGAGAGCAAAGACCAGGGGTCCAGTGAAAGTAGGGGTTAGGGTGGGCACAGGGGTGACTGCTCAGAGCGTCCTGATCCTTCTGGGTCCAGTTAGGGAAGTTCCCCATTCATAGACTCCCCAACCTCTGTGAAGTTTGCTAAACTCATTTACATCTTCATTTACATGCCAGATTGGTACTCAGTTAGCCTTCAAACTTCTGTGCAAACGGGGTATAGATTCCGCCTCCCATAACTTGAATATAAATTAATCTGTCTGTGAACTGTGGAATTTGATTGGCCTCTTTGGCCTCAATTAATACAGTTGTCTCCAGTGCGGTTCCCAGGAAAGCTGAGAGGGCTCAGTGGTCTAACCTGGGAAGGTTCTTCTTGGATGGCTTTTCTCTAATAAGCACTGAGCATGCAGGGGAGTTTGTGTTGACAGATTTACTTCTCCTTTTGGGGATGGGAGGGGGAAGGCCAGTGCACCTGTTTCACAGCTGGTGCCTTAATTGGTTCTCTTGTTTCGGCCGCACTTCTGACTGTTGCCCCCGGCACCTGCCTGAACGGAGCTCAGAGCCTGTCCTGGCATCCACAGGCCTGACTGCCACCCCCTTCTCTGAGCAATGCTCCGTTTCATGTCTCCACCTGCTCACCAGCTTTCTCTCTTGCAAAAATTAATTGAGATCTCGCATCTTTGGGTACCCCCCTTTCTCTTTGTTCCATTTTGCACTTCACAGTCATTGCCCTGATGGTGTGTGATGGGTTGAACTGTGTCTCCCTAAAAGATGCTGGGGTTCCAACCTACAGTATCGATGAATGTGTGTTACTTGGAAATAGTGTCTTTTCAAATGGGATCTAGTGAAGATTAGGTCATTATGTTGGGCCCTAATTCAGTATGACTGTTGTTCTTAGAAGAAGAGGAGATGATAAGACAGACATGCACAGAGGGAAGGTGATGTGAAGACATGTAGGGAGAAGGGCATGTGACCTCAGGGACAGAGGCTGGAGTGATGCAGCCACAAGCCAAGGACTGCTGGCAACCACCAGAAGCTGCAGGAAGCCTGGAATAATTCTTCCCTAGGGCCTGCAGAGAGCTTGGCTCTGCCAACACCCTGATTTTGAACTTGTAATAGCCAGAATGGTAAGAGAATAAATTTCTGTGGCTTTAAGCCATCTGTGTTGTGGAACTTTGTAACAGCAATACAGGAAACGAATATAGAGTACTCTCAGATAAGACCTAGCCTGGGTGTCAGGAAGACCTTCCTGCAGCATGAAACACCCTGTATTTGGAAAACCCTCTTACCAGAACATTCCAAGATGGTGCAGGTAACTCATTATCCAGGTTGGGAGAAGTCAACCAGGTTTGAGCTTCTTTTTTCAGCCATTGCCAGCATATTTTATCTCCACTCACATTATTGGTTGGGTCAACTGGATCCAAGATTACTGGCCTGTGTATTCCATTAGATTAAAAAAAGTCAGTTGAGCTGCTTGTGGGAGGCAAAATCTGTTTTGGGGAAAGAGGCCTGGAGTGGGAATCCGGCAACTTGAATTTGGATTCCTGCAGCTCCTCCAAGCTGCTGAGGGATTTTGTCTACGACATCAAGCCCCTCTGGCCCTGGGTTTGCTGCTTTACAGAGACATTCTATTAATAAAATAACAAAGTGGTCTCCTCTTCCTGCCCCCCATCCCCTTTCTCTCTTAGCTCCTTCCTTCTATAAGGGGAAGTGTCTCTCCAGTGTTTGTTTAGGGGACAAAATGTGACTATGGTTTGGAATGTGAAAAGCACTGGCTGGACCTCCCCTCTTTCAGACAGACCCATCTGCCTCCCCACCCATGGTGGCTGCCATTCTTCTGGTCCAGCACTGGCTTGATAGGGCAAGGCTGAGATCTCATTCCAAAGAGGTATGCCTGGCATGCGGATGATGAGGTACAGGGATAGGGTGTGAGAAGCTTGGCACCTCGCTGATTGGAGCTGGTGCAGCAGGATGTTCCTGATGGTCTCATCTTCAAAGTTGTAGTTGACCATCCAATAGATACACAGCTTCTCCTGGCATTTGATCAGCTCCAGTACGGTTCTGACGCCTTCAGCAATGTCAAAGTTGTCTTTTCTGCACCCCTGTTCCCAGGCATACACCGTAAGCAGCTCCAGGGCATACGGAGACAGCGAGGGTAAATCCTTGATTTTTTTCTGGCACTGTGGGATAAGGAAAGGGTAGCAGCTCATTGGGGGATCTAGTTCTTACCATGTCAGGGATCTGAAATCAAGAAACCAGAGGTCTACAGGAAGTCATTGTCCTTTGCTAGAATGCCTACAGTTCAGTGGACTGACAATACCAAGTCTTGACAAAGATGTGGAACAACTGGGATGGAGCAGGGACCTCTCTTAGGTGTCTGCAGGCCACCCACTGCTCCCATCCCACAAGCATGAAAATAAAGGAAAATCTGGAGTTCTTTCGAGGGAAATTCCAGGCACCTTACTAGCCTTGAAAAGTCAATGAGCAACTCGATAAGCAAAAATACAGTAGTTCAGGGTCTACAGGAGCAGTGAAAAAAAACCCAATAAAACAAAAACAACAAAAAAGAAGGTAATAGTCACTTAAAACAGTAGCCAAGGAAGTTAGAGTCAAAAGATGTTTTGTTCCCTATAGAAACTAAAGATAACATCTTAGCATATGTCCCTGAGTTGATTTTCAGAAACTCAGGCCCCCACCAAGCAAATCCACTGGCAGGTAGACCTCAGATGAGGGGAAACTGAGGATTGAACCCTGACCTCGTTCTTTGTTCTAAATTTCTTCCTGAGGGTTTTGGAGGAGGTCACACCTACGAGCCAGAGCTAACGTTCCCTTCTGCTGATCTGAAATTTTTAGATAAAGCTTCGCCCATTTCACCCATCACAAATTGGAAAGTCTTTGAATCCTGTGACCAGCGCCACCCATCCTCCTCCTCCCTCCTGCTTGGAGACGTCCCACCTTTTTAGGTCAAACCAATGTACAGCCTCCATGTGTTGATTTATGGCTTTGCCTGTAACCTCTGTCCCCTCACCTTTAAAACCCTTACCTGTAAGCCATCGGGGAGTTCGGCTCTTAAACATGAGCTGCCCAATTCTCCCTGCTTGGCTCCCTGCAATAAATGCTTCACTCTCTCACTGCAATCCCAAAGTCTGTTTGGCTTTGCTGCGCTGGGTGGGCAGATCCCCAGTTGGGTTTGAGAATATGCCTGAAACTCACATCTTGCTGATGGGAGTATAATTTGGTAAGATTTTGGAAATGATTCGGCAAGATTTGCTATGGTTAAACAAAAAAACAAACTACATATATATTTTATATATTTACACGCATATATGTACACAACATTCATATATGTGCACTGGATAGCCCAGCAATTCTACTGCTACATATTTATCCAAGAGAAATGAATGCTTACATTCACAAAAAGACATGTAGGGAAATACCCATAGTAACCTAATTCATAATTGCCCCAATTTGAAAATGACCCAATCATCTATTTGAAAATTGCCCCAATTTGAAAATGACCCAAAGCAGCAGAATGGATAAATGTGTGTTACATTAATACAATTGAATATGGGAAAACAATGAAAAAAAGTGCTACTATGGCTGGGTGCCATGGCTCATGTCTGTAATCCCAACACTTTGGGAGGCTGAGGTGGGCACATAGCTTGAGCCCAGGAGTTCAAGACCAGCCTGGGCAACATGGTGAAACCTCATCTCTACAAAAAATACAAAAATTAGCCAGGTATGGTGGCACACTCCTGTAGTTCCAGCTACTTGGGAGGCTGAGATGGGAGGATTGCTTGAGCCCAGGAGACAGGTTGCAGTGAGCCAAGATCCCACCACTGCACTCCAGCCTGGGCAGCAGAGCAAGACCCTGCAACCATATGAATGAGTCTCTCAGACATCCCGTTGAGCCAAAGAAGGCAGACATGAAGTATGTACCATATAATCCCACTTACATTGTTTGTTTAAAATCAAGCAAAACTAATCTGCGGTGGTAATAGATGTTAGAATAGGGGTTTGTTTGGGAGGATTACTAGGGGGACAATGGGCTTGAGGCACCTTCTGGGGTACACGAAACGTTCCCTATGTTGATTTGGGTGTTGCTGGTAAGATTGTAAAAAATGCGTTGAGCTGTATACCTAAGATTGTTGCACTTTACTGGATGTCAATTATCTCGATAAAAAGGAAATGAATGATAACCATATATAGACAGTTGGAAAATTACCTGTTGATGCCAGTGCTTTATCAAGAGGATCAAATCCTTTAGTTTTCCAGGACGGTTGTCAAAAAACTTCTGCTGGAGTTCAGTGAAGCAGACTGCAAACTCACCAGGACTGGCATTTGTCTTATCCAAGGATCTTTTGAGCTCTCGATAGATCCAGGGGCTGGGATTATCATTTAAGCCTGATGTGAAACAGAAATTGGAACGTTGTTATTTATGTAACCTGGTTTTAGAGAGCCAGGGTTGCTCTACAATGAAGGTCAGTTATAGTTTGATAGCACACGACTCTTGCTTAATCGGTCAGAGGACAGGTACCTTTACATAAAACATAGTAGGGAAGGGTGACTTGGCCCATTAGATAATAAAGTGTAGTCTAAACTGACTGTAATGAAAACAGTATGGTGTTAACCCAAGACAAGATCAGCAGAACCTAATGGAGGGACAAGAGATGGAATTATAAACGAGAAAGGGAATTATCCAAATTAGTAGGGAGCAAGTGGGTTCTTTAAAAAATTGTTTGTGTTGGCATAGTTAGCATACATCTGGAAGAAAGGAAAGTTTATATTTTACATGCAATATATTCTGTCATTGAGTCCATCCTGTGAATATTTTACTTCAGAATGTCAGGGTACAGGGACTTTGAGGAGGCAGGCAAGGTGGCAGCAGGGCCCTGGAGGTCTGGGGACAGGGGCTGGTTTAATCAATGGGTTTCCATTCTTGCTAGCTGAGTTCCACTGTTTATAAACACATTTATTTAGCCAGGCACGGTGGCTCATGCCTGTAATCCCAGCACTTTGGGAGTCTGAGGCAGGCGGATCACCTGAGGCCAGGAGTTTGAGACCAGCCTGGCCAACATGATGAAACCCCGTCTGTACTAAAAATACAAAAATTAGCTGGGCGTGGTGGCAGGTGCCTGTAATCCCAGCTACTCAGGAGGCTAAGGCATGCGAACTCCTTGACCCCGAGAGGTGGATGTTGCACTGGGCCATAATTGCACCACTGCACTCCAGCCTGGGTGACAGAGTGAGACTTTGTCTCAAAATAAAAATAAAAATAAAATAAACACATTTATTGATTGATTACTGTTACTGAAACACCAGGGGTTCAGTCTAGGTCCTGCTGCTCACCACATAGAAAGCCAATGGCGGAAACAAGTGTTGCCAAGAAGAAGGCTTTAATCAGGTGCTGCAGCTGAGGAGATGGGAGATCAGTCTCAAATCCTTCTCCCTGACAGACTAAAGTTAGGGTTCTATATAGCAGGGAAGAAATGTAACTATGTGTGGGAAAACGGGAATTAGGGAGGGGTAAGGAGGTAATCATGAGGAATAAGGGATTTGACATCCCATTGTCTGGATGCAGTGACTGGTGAGTTTCAGTTCTTTGATACTTTTTGAGAGGTCTGAGGTTCCTTTTCTGAGGAAGGAACTTAGATAAAACAAATGTAAGTTTCAAGCTTTAAGATCAGAAGGGTCAATTTCTATGTTCATTAAAAAACAAAACAACCCTCCCCCCCCCACAAAAAAACAACCAAACAAATAGAAACAAAAACAAACAAAAAATGGTCTATAGGACTACTGAGTTTGTTTCATCATTATTCTTACTTTTAGAGACAGAGTCTTCTCTGTCGCTCAGGCTGGACTGCAATGGCACAATCATAGCTCACTGTACCCTCAAATATATTTCAAGGCTCAAGTGATCCTCCTGCCTCAGCCTTCTGAGTACCTGGGACCACAGGCGTGTGCCACCATGTTTGGCTTTTTTTTTGGAGAAAAAAAAAAGCCTGTTGCCCAGGCTGGTCTTGAACTCCTGGCCTCAAGTGATCCTCCCACCTTGGCCTTCCAAAGTGTTGGAATTACAGACGTGAGCCAGCTCCCTGGCCCATAAACACATTTAGATAAGAAACCAGGAGAAAGCAGCTAGCTTGTTCCTTTCATACACCCCAGTGGATATTTACTGACTCCCTAGGCATGGTTCTGGGCACTTGGCATGCAGGGAGGTTGACGGAAAGAGCATTCTATCTTCCCCCATAATGATAATAAATAGCTAACGTTTATGGTGTGTTTACTCTAAGCCTTTTATGTACAGTGAAACATACAAGCCTCACAAAACTCTTAGCTGGCAAGTGCAATTGCAATTACTAATTTACAGATGAGGATAATGGAAATACCAGCCAGTCAAGTAAATAGGTACTTCTTGCTTTGGGTCAAAGGCCCTAGGGGGAGAGTTGTAGTGGCACACAGTGGTGGAAAGAGATGCAGAATTGGAGACAGCCAGCCTGGACCTGGTGTAAAAATAGGCCAGATTAGTTAGGCTAATATTTAGTTTAAAAAACAAAACAAAACGAAAAGCAAGTTACCAATTCCCCTGTAGGTTGCTTTTCTCAGAAAGTGACCCTGTGTTTCCTTGCAGAAAAAGGAGCTTATAATAATTTGGAATGTGCAGCTTTACCACCATCTAGTGGCAGCTTCTGGGTAGCACATGTGGGGAAGAGTTTATTTCTCATTCTCACACCATCCTTGCATGATGGGGTGAACCCAGTAGAGGGCGCTCTGGCCAGGTCTCCCAGCATGGCACTTGGAACAGGAAGAGAGGACTTTCCTATGAGAATTATGATGCACCTGTCTCCCTCCTTGACTCCAGCCCTTGTTTGAAGCAGGCCCCCACCCCCAACCCTGAGCATCCTAATGGCCCTGGAATCTAGTTTCTAGTCTGACTGTACAGCTGGCAGGCATAAGTGAGTAGTAGGACCAGGATAAGAACTCAGAACTGCCAACCTCCCAAACTGGTACATGTTTCCCCAAGCCAGGCCACCTTTCTGTGAATGTGAGTTATCAGGATGTCTGTATGTCTCCTCCTTATCAGTGATGCCTGGGCTAATTGTTCTTCATGGTTCCTGGTAACCCAGAAATTCCTTAAAACTATAGGTGATGGAAGGTACTCTGGCCATGGGCTTAGAAGACCTGGGCTTTTCTGTTTCCCCATTTGTTTAATGATGGCTTAAGTTTCAGCTTGGGAATTTTCCCTTCCCCTCCCCTCTCTTCCCCTCCCCTCCCCTTTTCTTTTCTTTCTTTCTTTTTTTTTTTTCTTTTGACAAGATCTTGCTCCGTTGTCCAGGCTGGAGTATAGTGGTGTAATAATAGCTCACTGCAACCTTGAACTCCTGTGCTCAAGTGATCCTCCTGCCTCAGTCTCCCCAGTAGTTAGGAATACAGCTGCATGCCACCACATCTAATTTTTAATTCTTTTGTAGAGATGGGGTTTCACTATGTTGCCCAGGCTGGTCTTAAACTCCTGGCCTCAAGTAATCCTCTTGCCTCAGCCTCCCAAAGCGCTGGGATTATAGGCAAGAACCACTGTGCCCAGCCTGGAATTATTTAAGTTTGTGATTATATGTGCACCTGTACTTGAGACTTTGTGCTTGAGACTATCCATCTATCTACCTCATCCATAAATATATACATATATTTAATATCTATCTATCCATCCATCCATCTACATTCATTTTTCCATCCATTTACCTTCCATCCATTTATCCATCATGCTCCATCCATCCATCCAACCAACAACTATTATTAATAATGAACATTGTACTAGAGACCATAGAAGAACAAGATACTCATGATACCTGTCCTCATGGAGCTTATAGTCTAGGAGAGGAGAAAGCTAAATACATTATTTCCATATAAGTTGTGAAAGGAAAATAAATCTTGGGGCCCCAAAATCACTCGGTTAAAGGGAAAAGTCAAGCTGGGAACTTCTCAGGACAAACCTGCCTCCCATTCTATTCAAAGTCATCCCTCTGCTGAGATAAATGTGTATTTGATTGCCTCCTTTGGAAGAGGTTAATCAGAAACTCAGAGGAATGCAACCATTGGTCTCTTATCTACCTATGATCTGGAAGCCCTCTCCCCACTTTGAATTGTCCCACTTTGCTTCGAGTTGTCCCGCCTTTCCGGAGTGAACCATTGTTCACCTTACATATGTTGATTGATGTCTCAGGTCTCCCTAAAACGTACAAAAGCAAACTGTGCTCTGAGCGCCTTGGGCACATGTCATCAGGACTTCCTGAGGCTGTGTTACGGGTGCGCATCCTCAACCTTGGCAAAATAAACTTTCTAAACTAACTGAGACCTGTCTCAGATAGTTGGGGTTTGCAAAGTGATAAATCCCATGATTCAGACAGCACAAATTGCTACTGGAGCATGTGGAAAGTGGATCTAACCCAGACATAGAGAGCCAGAGGACTTAAAGGATGAGTTGGAGTTATCCAAAAATAAAAGGCTGGGGGAAGTATATTCCAGGCAAAGGAACAGTATAGGCCAAAGTCTCAAGTTGAGCTAGCATCATGTGGGTTTGAGGAGCTCAGGGAAGGCCAGAGTGGCTGAAGCATAGAGAGTTAGTTGGTGGTGAGTGGTACAGCTGGAGAGGTAAGTAAGTAGGGGCTGCCAGATCATCAAAGTCCTGTCCTGCTGAGGAGTTTGATCCTTATCCTTGTAAACCAAAAATAAAATTCTAAGCCTTCCCAACCTACTGAATGAACCCCTCTCTTGGCCAAGGGGAACCCCCAAAGAAACCTGAAAAACTAGCTCAGGTCATGATGGGAAGGGGGAGCTCAGACACCTCATTATACCCTCCTCCCTTTGGAATTCAGGCACAATCGACAAACACTAACATTAAAATAGAGACCCCAAGACTGACAGAACAGACTCTTTGTAGCAGTATGACACCAAATTCCAGCCTAACTCTGGCATCACCTGACAGATAACAGGCCCTAAAGGAAATCAAAAGTATTTTACCCCAAAATATATTTCTTTGACATATATTGGAATGGCCCTGCAAAGCTGTGTCCTGTGGAAAAATTCACATTCTGTGGAGAATCCCCTTCCCCTTCCAGATCTTTTCCTGATTCAGGAGAGATTTTAACTAATCGTCTGACATCTTTAAGGTCTGATAAGGGACATTTACCACCTATTCTCCTTGAAGCCTGCTACCTGGAGGCTTCATCTACATAATAAGAACCTTGTCTTCCACAACTCCCCTTTTCTTAAGCTGAACTCCTTCAACTAACTGCTAATCAGGAAATCTTTATAACCATCTATGACCTGGAAGACCCTGCTTTGAGACATTTTGCCTTTCCAGGCTGAATCAATGCACATCTTATGTGTACTGATTTACGTTTCTGCCTGTAAATTCTGTCCCCCTAAAATGTATACAAATCAAGCTGTAACCTAATCACCTGGGGCACACGTTCTCAGGAACTACTGAGATTGTGTCACAGGTCATGGTCCTCATATTTGGCTCAGAAAAAACCTCTTAAAATATTTTACAGAGTTTGGCCTTTTTGGTCAACTTCCTAAATGCAGTGAAAAGCCATTAGAGGCAGAGTGTGTGACACAATATTTGTGCATGGAAAGAGAGCACCAGCTGCAGGGTGGAGTGAGACAGGAGGCAGGGAGACAATTAGGAAGCCATTGCCCCATCCCTGGTGGTGACGTTGACTAGGGAAGTAGCAGTGGGAAGGGAGAGAAATGATGCAGATTTAGGAGCAAGTTAGGCAGAACTGGCAGGACTTAGTGATGGGCTGTGAGTGAGGAGGTGGGGGAGCTGGAGATACAATCCTGGCTTAGGTATATAAACCAAAAACAAAATTCTAAGCACCCCCAGTCATCTGAATGGACCTCTCCTCTCAGCAAAGGCATTCCAAAGTTGACCTGAAAAACCAGTTCAGGCCATGATGGGAAGGAGGAGCTGGACATGCCTCATGATACCTCCCTCTCTTTTGGAATTAGTGATAGAACAGGCTCTTGTCTGATAAGAAACATTTACAATCTATTCTCTCTGAAGTCTGCTACCTGGAGTTTTCAGCTGCATGATAAAACTTTGGTCTCCACAACCCTTTATCATCATAACCCAGACATTCCCTTCTATTGATGATAACTCTTTCCATCAATTGCCAATCAGAAAATCTTTAAATCTACCAATGACCTGGAAGCCCCCACTTTGAGTTGTCCTGCCTTTCCAAACCAAACCAATGTACATCTTACCTGCATTGATTGATGTCTCATGTCTCCCTAAAATGTATTGTATTAGTCTGTTCTCATGCTGTTAATAAAGACATACCTGAGACTGAGTAGTTTATAAAGGAAAGAGGTTTGATTGACTCACAGTTCCACATGGTTGGGGAGGCCTCACAATCATGGTGGAAGAGCAAGGGACATGTTACATGGTGGGAGGCCAGAGAGAGCTTGTGCAGGGGAACTCCCCTTTATGACACCATCAGATCTCGTGAGATTTATTCATTATCATGAGAACAGCATGGGAAATACCTGCCTCCATGATTCAATTACCTCCCACTGGGTCCCTCCCATGACATGTGGAAATTGTGGGAGCTACAATTCAAGATGAGATTTGGTGGGGACACAGCCAAACCATACCACGTATACAACCAAGCTGTACCCTGAGCACTTTGGGTACATGTCATCAGAACTTCCTGAGGCTGTGTCATGGGTACATCCTTCACCTTGGCAAATATACTTTCTAAATAGATTGAGACCTGTCTCAGATACTTTTGGTTTACAGGTGATAGCGTTGCTGGAAAAGAGGGTCCTGATTCAGATCCCAAGAGAGGGTTCTTGGATCTCATGCAGGAAAGAATTCAAGGCAGGTACAGAGTATGGTGAAAGAAGCAAATTTATTAGAAACGACTTTGTTACAGGGTAGGGCATCCTCAGAAAGGAGAAGGAGGAATGCGCCATTCTTTGTTAGTGTCTTCGTTGATAAGAAATTCTAAGGAGCTGTCATTAAAATTGGAATGTGCAGATGTGCTCACTAAAGGTAGGGGGTATTGGTGCTGTTAAATCAAGTTTAGCCTAAAGCTGCCTCCTTACATATTTTAAGTTTGGCCTAAAATTTCTCTGTACATGGTGAACTATAACCTAAAAGGATGTGTAAACAGACTGCAACCTACTCTTGTGCCAATCACTGAGTTTCGGCCAATCAAAGGTGGCCAACTGTTCAAATCTCGTTCAAATAAGGCCAATGCTGAGCTATAACCAGTCTGGCTGTTTCTGTACCTCACTTTCATTTTCAGTACATCATTTTCCTTTTCCTGTCCATAAATCTTCTTCCACCACGTGGCTGTGTTCAAGACTCTCTGAACCTACTCTGGCTCAGGAGGCTTCTAGATTTGTGAATTGTCTGCTCAGTTAAACTCCATTAAATTCAATTTGGCCAAGAATTTTCTTCTTAACAGTGGTATTGATGACCATTAATCCTTCAACCTAAACCTGCTCATTAATGCTGCCTTTAAGTGGGCTGAACTTTTAGGACACCTGGACATTTTGTAGGCTTAGTGGGAGATGTTTTGTATGGCCTTAAATATTCTGCAATTATAATTGGTGGTCAGCTTAGACTGTGGCTATTTTCAGACCCAAGTATTAAGCCTGTAGGTTCCTTTTGAGTGCCTAGCTACTTGCTTTAAGATGGAGTCACTCTAGCCATCTTTTATTAAACCAGAAGCCTGGTAAGCAGAGGTTACTTTAACAATATGCAAGAGTGTGGGAATGTTTGCTGAGACAGGAGACACAAGAGGTGGGCAGGTCTTAGGGATTTAGGAGTTGGGTTCAAGGCACCCCCTCAAGCTTTGATAGTTATCTATGGAAGGTCGTTGCCTTGATTTTGACCTGGTAGGAAGGCAGACTTCAAATGCTTGCCCCAGCTGGACTTTTCCCAGATGTCTGCCTCATCCTCTTACTCTAACCAACACTGACTCTGGTCAAAACCTGCAAGCATGATCTGCGGACCAGCAGCTCATCATGGAGCTGGCTAGAAATATGAAATCCTGGGCTCTAACTCAGACCTCCTGAGTCAGGATCTGCATTTTAACAAGGTTCCAGGTGATTTATGTGTACAGTATGGCTTAAAAGGCTCTGCCTTAGATTCTAGAATCCAGAACATTTTCTCCAAAGACAATCAGGGTATGGGGGAGAAGTTAGTTCCAGAGAAGAGAGCGAGTCCAGGGTAGAAGGGATTCTTCTCTCCTGAGGGTCTATGGTCTCCCATTTTTTAAAGCAGCAGTGGTATCTATCCCACTCATGGCCTAGAGGTTGCACAGAGCTGTCTGGCACCCGCTTCTTTGGCTTTTCTCTCCTGACACCCAGCAATGCTTACTCAGAGCGTTGAAGGCGGCCAGCACCTCGAAAGAGATTCTCTGATTTTTTGTGAACACCTGGATGGTGAACCCATCAAGGGACTTCTGGATCTCGAAATTGTTTTTCAACCACTTCGTGAACAGACAGAACTTCAGCTTATCCCCAGTTTTATCGAGGATGTCACGTTGGCTTCTCTTCTGATCCTGGAATTGTTTTAAGTCACTGAAGAAGAGGACAAGGGTACCATCGGAGTTGCCTCTTAAGACTGTTTTCCGTCCATAGGAGCCACCCTGCCAGTGACAAAGAAGCAGATATGAGACACTAGATTCTGGGGTTACAGGGATCTCTAGCAGGCAGTGGTATTTCTCAACTCAAGTAAAAGCCAAAAATGGTCTTAACATTGAGTGGCAGGCATCCATTTGCCCCACAAAGACCTGATTGGGATGCTCATAGTAACACTTTTCATACTAGCCCCAACCTGGAGGTGACTCAAATGGCCGCTGGCAATAGAAACGGATTGAACTGCCCCACCTGCCACCAGCACCTGTGCTTACTGTCCCAGGGCCTGAGGATAGGATCGCCTCACCTGCCATTGTTGCTGGTGCCTGTGCGCATCTGGGGGAATGGGGGTAAAACTGTCCCACCTGCGGCCAGCACCTGCACACACCATTAGGGAACCTGAAGACAGGCTCGCCCCACCTGCCACCAGCATCCACATGTGCTGCCCAGGGGCCAGGAGATTAACCCGTCCTCTTTACCACCAGCAGCACAGGCACACACCATCCAGAGGCCTAAGGATGGGCCCACTCTGCCTGCCACTAGTGACCACATGTGTCTCCCAAGGGCCTGGGGACCAGCCTACCCAGCTTGCCATCACTGATGCCTGTGTACACCACTTGAGGGCCTGAGGGTTGGCCTGCTGCTGCCGCTTCCAAACAAGCCACCTGGGGGCCCAAGGACCTGCCTGTTCAGTCCACTGCTGCTACCACTGGCACCCGAACATGTCATCTTGAAGTCTGATACCCTGCCCACCTGGACACACCAGCATTGACACCCACATACACTGCCTGGGGGCCTGAGGACCAGCATGCCTGGCATACTGCTGTCACCACTGGTGCTTGAAGACCAACCTGCCTGATGTCCCTGTTCCCAGCACAGCCTTTCCACAGACTCCATTAACAACTACACTGTCAGCCACTGAGGAGCTCACAGACAACACTGATGCTAATGAAATCATGTGGAGGCTCCACTAACTGTGCCCACACAGAATCAAAGCCAAAGCGCTCCACTCAACCAACACTATAGACACATCTACAGGAAAACATCTTTTTTATTTTATTTTTATTTAATTTTTTAGAGACAGGGTCTTGCTCTGTCACCTAGGCTGGAGCATAGTGGCACAATCATATCTCACTGTAACCTCAAACTCCTGCCAGAAGCAATCTTCCCACCTCAGCCTCCTGAGTCACTGGGATTATAGGCATGAGCCATCATGCCCAGCAGAGGAAAATGTCTTTCCCTATGAAAGTCAATAAATAAAATTGGAGAAGTGACTGTTACATTAGCTGTGCTGATATCAATGTAAGGACACAGAAACATGAAAAAGCAAGGGAAACATGGCACTTCCAAAGGAGCACAATAATTCTTTAGTACAGATCCCAAAGAAAATGATATCTGTGCAATGGTTAAGAAAAATTCAAAACCATGATATTAAAGAAATTCAGTAAGATACAAGAAAACACAGATAAACAATACAAATAAATCAGGAAAATAATTTATGCTCTGAATGAGAAACTCAACAAAGAGATAGATATTGCTAAAAAGAACCAAAGAGAATTCCTGAAACTGAAGAAATCAATGAATAAAATAAAAATACAACTCACTGCTTTAACAATAGACTAGGTCAAGGAGAAGAAAGAATTTCTAAACTTGAAGACAGTTCTTTTGAAATAATCCAGCCAGACAAAAGGAGAGAAAAATAAATAAAAATGAGTGAAGAAAGCCTATGTGCCATATTGGTAATCATAAAGTAACCAAATATTTAAATTTGGAAAGATCTAGGAGAAGAGATGGGCAAAGGCATAGAAAATCTATTTAATGAAGTAATAGCTGAAAACGTCCCATGTCTTACAAGAGATTTAGACACCCAGATACAGGAAGCTCAAAGATTCTCAAATAGATTCAACCCCAAAATGTCTTCTGCAGGCATATTATAGTCAAACTGTCAAAAGTCAAAGACAAACATATAATTCTGAAAATAGCAAGACAAAAGTATAAAGTCACATATAAGGGAATTCTCCTCAGACTAATAGCAGATTTCTGAGCAGAAAACTTACAGGTCAGAAGAGAATAGGATGATATGCTCAAAGTGCTAAAAAAAAACCCTTTCAGACAAGAATACGATACCCAGCAAAGCTATCCTTCAAAAATGAAGGAGAAACAAAGTCTTTCCCAGACAAGCAAAAACAGAGGGAATTCATCACCACTAGACTAGTTCTACAGAAAATGCTTAAGAGAGTGTTACATCTGGAAGCAAAGGGATGATGTCTACCATCATGAAAACACACAAAAGTATAAAACTCACTGGTAGAGCAGATACACAAATGACAAAGAGAAAGGAGTCAAATGTTATCATTACAAAACCCCCAACAATTGGAAAGGTAGGCAATAAAGAGAAAGAAAAGAACAAAGAATGTACAAAACAATCAAAACAAATAACAAAATGACAGGAGTAAGTTGTTACCTATCAATAACAACCCTGAATTTAACAACGGTTTAAATTCTCTAGTTAAAAGATACAGACAAGCTGAATGGATAAAAAATAAGGTCCAACTATATGCTGCCTCCAATAAACTCACTGCATCTGTGAAGATACATATAGACTGAATGTGAAGGAATGGAAAAAATATTCCACACAAATGGAAACCAAAAGTGTGCAGGAGTAGCTATACTTATATCAGACAGAGTAGACTTTAAGTCAAAAACATAAAAAGAGACAAAGAAGGTCATTTTATAATTAATGATCAAGAGATCAATTCAGCCAGAGGATATAAGTATGTGTATATATGTATATAGACATATATATGTATATGTATATTTATACACATATGTATGACCACCCAACGGTAGAGCACTGAGATATGTAAAGCAAATATTAGAGCTAAACAGAGACCGAGAGACTGCCAATACAGTAATAGCTGGGAACTTCATCTCACTTTTGGTATTGGGCAGATCACGTAGACAGAAAATCAGCAAAGAAATACTGGACTTAGTCTGCATTATAGTCCAAATGGACCTAATGAATATTTGCAGATTATTTATTCAGCAAAGAATACTGGACTTAGTCTGCATTATAGTCCAAATGGACCTAATGAATATTTGCAGATTATTTATTCAGCTACAGAATACACATTCTTATCAGCACAGGGAATGTTCTCCAGGATAGACCCTATGGTAGGTCACAAAACAAGGCTCAACAAATTTTTAAAAATTGAAATACTGTCAGGTATCTTAATGGATACTTACCACAATGGATACAGACCACAATGGAACAAGAGGAACTTTGGAAATTGTACAAATACGTGAAAATTAAACAACACGCTCCTGGACAACCACTGGGCTGATGAAGAAATTTAAAAGGAAATCAAAAAATTTCTGGAAACAAATGAAAATGGAAACACAACATACCAAAACCTAAGGGATACAGCAAAGTTTGAAGCAATACATGCTTACATCAAAAAAAGTAGAACAATTTCAAATAAACAACCTAACGGTTCATCTTAAGGAATTAGAAAAGCAAGAAAAGCCAGGCATAGTGGCTCACACCTGAAATTCCAGTACTTTGGGAGGCTGAGGCGGGTGGATCACCTGAGGTCAGGAGTTTGAGACCAGCCTGACCAACATGGTGAAACCCCGTCTCTACTAAAAATACAAAATTAGCCGGGCGTGGTGGTGCATGCCTGTGATCCCAACTACTCAGGAGGCTGAGGCAGGAGAATCACTTGAACCCAGGGGGCAGAGGTTGCAGTGAGCTGAGATCACGTCATTGCACTCCAGCTTGGGCAACAAAAGCAAAAATCCATCTCAAAAACAAACAAAAAAGCAAGAATAAACCAAACCTAAAATTAGTAGAAGGAAAGAAATAATAAAAATCAGAACAGAACTAAACATAATAGAGGCTAAAAATTAACAAAATAAAAAGTTGGTTTCTTAAAAAGATAAACAAAATGGATGAACCGCTACTTAGACTAAATAGACTAAAAAAAGAGAAGACCCAAGTAAAATAAAATCAGGGATAAAAAAGGAGACATTACCATTGATACCACAGAAATAAAAGGGGTCATTAGAGACTATGATGAACAACTACATGTGAACAAATTGGAAAGCCTAGAGGAGATGGATAAATTCCTGAACACATACAACCTACTAAGATTGATCCAGGAAGAAACAGAAAACCTGAACAGACCAATAGTGAGTGAGTAGATTGAATCAGTAATAAAAAACTCCTCAACAAAGAATAGCCCAGGACTAGATGGCTTTACTGCTGAACTCTACCAAACTTATAAAGAAGAATTAACACCAATTCTTCTCAAACTATTCCAAAAAAATTGAAGAGGAGGGAATTACTCCTAACCACTTCTATGAAGTCAGCATTACCCTGATACCAAAACTAGACCAAAGACACAACAAAAAAGAAAACTACAGGCCAATATCCCTGATGAACATAGATACAAATACCTTCAACAAAATGCTAGCAAACCAAATCCAATAATACTTCGAAAAGATAACACATGATCAAGTGGGATTTATCCCAGGGATGCAAGGATGGTTCAACATGAGCAAGTCAACAAATGTTGAACATTTGCACATCACATCAACATAATGAAGGACAAATCATATGATTATCCTGGTAGATGTAGAAGAACATTTGGTAAAATTCAACATCCCTTTATGCTAAAAACCCTCAACAAATTAGGCATGTAAGGAACATACCTCAACATAATAAAGTCCATATATGACAAACCCACAGTTAACATCATACTGAATTGGGAAAGGCTTTCAGCCTGTATCCTGGAAGTCCTAGCCAAAGCAATCCCAAAAGATAAAGAAATAAAAGGCATCCAAATAGGAAAAGAAAAAGTCAAATTGCCCCTCTTTGCAGACCATATGATCTTCTATACAGAAAAACCTAAAGACTCCACCAAGAAAACCTCTTAGAACTGATAAATTTGGTAAAGTTGCAGGATACAAAATCAAAATACCAAAATCAACATACCATACCAACATACCAAAATACCAACATATTCTACACATCAGTAATGAACTAGCTGAAAAAGAAATCAAGAAAGCAATCTTATAGTATTTAACAAAAATACCTAGGAATGCATTTAACTAAGGAAGTGAAAGATCTCTACAGTGAAAACTACAAAACACTGATAAAAGAAACTGAAGGTGACACAAGCAAATGGAAAGACATCCCATGCTCATGGATTGGAAGAATTAATATTGTTAAAATAACCATACTACCCAAAGCAATCTACAGAATCAATGCAATCCTTATAAATACCAGTGACATTTTTTTTCACAGAAATAGAAAAAACAATCCTAAAATTTGTATGGAAACACAAAAGATCTCAAATAGCCAAATAGTACTGAGGAAAAAGAACAAAGCTAGAGGCATCATGCTACGTGACTTCAAAATATACTACAAAGCTATAGTAACCAAAGCAGCATGGGATTGGTATAAAAACAGACATATAGACCAAAGGAACAGAATCGAGAACCCAGAAACAAATCCACAAATTTACAGCCAACTGATTGAGAAAGCACCATGAACACACATTAGGGAAAGGATACTCTCTTCAATAAATGGTGTTGGGAAAACTGGATATCCATATGTAGAAGAATGAAACTAGGCCCCCGTCTGTCATCTTATAAAAAATTAACTAAAAATGGGTTAAAGAGTTAAACATAAGGCCTGAAATGATAAAATTAATAGAATAAAGCAGAAGAGTAATGCTTCATGATATTGGTCTATGCAAGTATTTTGTGGCTAAGACTTCAAAAGCACAGGCAACAAAAACAAAAAATAGACAATTGGGACTATATTAAATGAAAAAGCTTCTGCACATCAAAGGGAACAATCAAGAGTGAAAAGACAAGCTGTAGAATGGGAGAAAATATTTGGAAACTATTTTTCCAACAAGGGTTTAATATCCAGAATATACAAGGAACGTGAACAACTCAACAGCAAAGAAAACAACCCATCCCATTAAAAAGCAGCCAAAGGGCCTAAATAGACATTTCTCAAAAGAAGACATACAAAATGGCCAATGGGTATATGAAAAAATGCTTGACATCACTAATCACTAGGGAAATGCAAATCAAAACCACAATGAGATACCATCTCACCCCAGTTAGAATAGCTATTATCAAAAAGACAAAAAATAAACGCTAGCAAGGATTTGGAGTAAAGGGAATCTTACACACTGTTGGTGGGAATGTAAATTAGCACAGTCATTACGGAAAACAGTATGGAGGTTTCTAAAAAAAATAAAAATGGCACTGCCATTCAATCCAGCAATCCCACTACTAGGTATTTATCCAAAAAAGGGATAACTGCACCCTCATGTTTATTGCAGCACTATTCACAAAAGCCAAGATATGGAATCAACCAACGTATCCATCAGCAGCTGAATGGATAAAGACAATGTAGTATATATACACAATAGAATACTATTCAGACACAAAAAGAATGGAATTCTGTCATTTGCAGCAATGTGCATGGAACTAGAGGTCATTATGTTAAATGAAATAAGTCAGGCATAGAAAGACAATATTGCATGTGTTTATGTGGAAGTTAAAAAAAGTTGATCTCATGGAGGTAGAGAGTAGGATCATAGTTACCAGAGGCTGGGAAGTAGAGGAGGAAATGAAGAGAAGTTGGTTAATGGATACAAACATACAGTTAGATAGAAGGGATAAATTCTAGTGTTTGATAGCACAATGGGGTGACTATAGTTAACAATAATTTATTATATATTTCAAAATAGTTAGAAGAGAAGATCTGAACTGTTCTCAACACAAATAAATGATCAATGTTTGAGGTGATGGATATCCTAACTACCCTGATCATTTCACATTGTATCCATGTGTCCAAATATCACATGTACCCCATATAAATATGCACAATTATGTAAAAATAAAAAAACACAGTAGAATGGACAAATGTGGAATATTCACATAATGGAATTGACACAACAATGAAAAGATAAACAACTGTACCCCACAACATAAATTTCATAAACATCATAGGTCAGAGAAACCACGCACTAAAGCACACAGAGCCCATGATGCCATTTATGTAGGGTTCACCCATGCATCCTGGTTTACATTCCCAGCTTTCACACCAAGAGTCCCACATCCCAGGAAACACCCCAATCTTGGATGAACTGGGATAGTTGGTCACCCTATAATTGTAAAACGTTTAAAAACAGGCAAAACGTGTCTATGCTGTTAGAAGTCAGGAGATTGCCTACCTGGGTTTGGAGGTGCTGACTGGATCGGGGGCCCAGGGCTCTGGGGGGCTGAGAATGTTTTGTTTCTGGATCTGGGTGGGGGTTACACAGTTACATTGTTTGTGGCTACCTATCAAGCTGGACACTTTGATCTGGGCACTTTTTCTGTTTTACTTCCATGAGGAAAAAAAAATTGAGAGGCAGGATAGTGTAGTGGTTAAACATGCATGCCCTCAAGCCAATTACCCAGGCTTAAAATCCCAGTTCTGACAATAGCTATTAACCAAACTTGCCTTAGCTTGCTGGCCTGGGCCAGGGCTGGGGACACCACGTGTCTAGATTTCTTTATTGAGGCACTAGCGGATGTGTGCAAGGGGTAGAGACCAAAAAGTGTGGCAGCAGCAGAGAAGGGACGTCAGCAGCTCAGGAGGCTAAGAGGATAGTATTGGGCCATCAGGACCCCCACGCCCCCAATTCTAGGGTCCTGGCATCTCCCCAGTCCCCCTTCCTCCCCAGAGGTCCAGAATTTTCAGCCTCAGTCCTGAGATTTGTGTCCACAAAACCAAATATTTCTAACTGATAAAAGCCACTCCTTCTTGCTGCGGAGAAACCACAAGGCAACCTGGGTAGTTTGAACAAAGTTCTCTAGCCTCCCTAAGTTTACTCCTCTGTACTGTGGAGAGGATAGAAGAAAATCGCAGTGAGTAATCACAGTGAATTCACTGAGCACTGCCAGTCTTTTGCTAAGAACATGATGTGCTCAAGCCTTACGATACTCTGAAGTGGGTATTATGCCTCTCCCCATTTTACAGAGTCAGAGACTGAGGCACAGAGAGGTTAAGTAGCCTGCCCAGTGTCACACAGCTCTGGAGCAAGCGCCTGCTCCAGAGCCTGAGACTCCTACACCACATCCCACCCAAGTGTGGGCCTCGCACATAATAGGCACCCAGCACCCAGTAGCTCGGCCTTGCTGCCGCCGTGGAATCTCCTGCCTCCCAGAGACCCAACCTCAGCCCTGGACTCACTATGGCCACTCCCTGCACCAGGGGGAACTGTTCGGGTTCCTGCAGGACGTCACAGATGGTGTTCACCATCTCGTCGATCAGTGTCTGACATTCTTCGTAGGGCTTCAGGTATTCCTGGATAAACCAACCCAGCTTCTGAGCAGGCACCGAGGACAGCTGGGACTCCCCATTTCCCATTGCTCTCAGCTGGCTGCCGGCAAGACAGTGAATGGTAGGATGGGAGGCAGAGGAATTCTTGCTGCTGCCCAGAGCCAGGAAACTGAAACTGAAGTCTAGAGGCCTCTCTCCACCCACTGCAGCGAGCTTACCAACTCTTGTATCCGGGACAGGGAAACAAAACTAACTTAAGCTCAGAGGCTCTGCCCTGCCCCTTGCAGTGAGTTTACCAACTCCTGCATCCGGGGCAGGGAAACCAAAACTAACTTAAGCTCAAATGCTCTTCCCCGCCCCTTGCAGCAAGGTTTACTGACTCCTGCACCCCAGCAGGGAAACCAAAACTGACTCAAGCTCAGAGGCTTTCCCTGTCCCCGGCAGCGTGGTGACCAGCCCTTCAGGGGCTCCCCAAAACTTGAGGTTAACTAAACAGCCTCTAGAACCCCATTGTGAGGGCTTCATACCTGCTAGATGTCTGTCCTTGAGCACATCGCCTGCCCTCTTCGCGCCTCAATTCCCCCATCTGTAAGCTGGGGGAAAATGGCAGCTCTCTCGTAGGATTAGCTTGATGATTAAATAATACCTGCAAAGTGCTTAGAAGCAGGGGCGCACAGGTCATCTTTTGAGGCTCTGTCCCTTTCCCCCTGTTCTCAGTGGCCAGGGAACTCACATTCAGGGAAAGCGGCAGAGAGGAAAAAGAGACCCAGAGAGGGAACTGACTTGCTCAGGGACACACAGCAAAGCAGGGACCTAGCTGGACTCAGGTTTTGGTCTGCTTCTGGGTAAACACAGGCCCCCGTGTGGTCAGCGGGTGGGAACCTCTGTGTGTCCAGTTTCTCAGCACACTTGTGGACAGCCGAGGGACCGTATGAGGCACTTGTCCAGCCTCGCAAGGGCAAGAAAACACACCCCAAGTGTGTGAGCCAGAAAGGAGACAGACATGCAACTCCTGTGCCCAGAGCTTTGAAAACAAAACTCGCAGAGGACTCCCAGCCAGCTGCCTTGGCCCAGCAATAATAATTCACAGAGAAGGCAAAAATCTCCAAGATGTAGTGGGGGACCAGGGCCCTTCCATACTGGGATGGTTAATTTTATGTGTCAAGTTGGCTGAGCCCAGGTACCCAGATATTTGGTCAAACATTATCCTAGATCTTTTTGTGAAGGTATTTTTTAAAGATAAGATTAACATTTACATTGGTAGACTTTTTTTTTGAGTAAAGTGGATTATCATCTGTAAGGTGGTGGGCCTGATTCAATCAGTTGAAGGCCTTAATAGACTAAAGACTGAGCTCCCCCAAGGAAGAGGGAATTCGGCTGCAGTGCCTTGGCCTCCACTTGCAGCAGCAACTCCTTCCTGGGTCTCCCACCTGCCAGTCTACCCTGCCGATTTTGGATTTGCCAGCCTCCACAATCACATGAGCCAATTCCTTAAAATAAATACCTCAAAATAAATATAAATACCCTGTTAGTTCTGGAAAAACCTCGATTAATGCACATGCTCATTAAGGGCCTTTCCTGCCCTTATCCAACTTTTACTGCAACACCGAGAGGTAGGCAGGCTGGGCAGGCGTAGTCCTAAGGTTCCTTTTTCAGATGAGAACATGGAGGCTCACAAAGGTGGAAACATTTGCCCGTGATCACACAGCTAGGAAGTTGTCAGGCTAGGTTCTCACACTAACACACTGCCTGACTCCAAAGCCTGTGCTTTATTTGTTATTTAAAAAAACACTTTATTTTGAAGTAATTTGAAATGCTGAGAAAATTTACAAGATGCACACAAAGAACTTCCTTAGACTTTTTAGCCATTATATTTTTTACCACATTTGCCCCTCATTTTCTTGCTATTTATACATTTTAGGAGGTTTTTGTTTTGTTTTGTTTTTGAGACAGAGTCTCACTCTGTCACCCAGGCTGGAGTGCAGTGGCGTGATTATAGCTCACTGTAGCCTCACCCTCCCAAGCTCAAGCAATCTTCCTACTTCAGCCTCCTGAGTAGCTGGGACTATAGGCATGCACCACCATGCCTGGCTAAATTTTTAAAATTTTTTGGTAGAAATGGGGGTCATGATGTCACCATGTTGCCCAGGCTGGGCTCGAACTCCTGGCCTCAAGCGATCTTCCCACCTCAGCCACCCAAAGTGCTGGGATTACAGACCTGAGCCACCACGCCCAGCCCTTCATGAGTATTTTTATTCCTGAACCATTTGAATGCATGTTGCATGATTTATGTCCCTTTACTCCTAAATGCTTCAACCTATATCTCCTAAGAGCAAGAATATTGTGTTACAGAAGCACAGAACAATGGTCCAATTCAGACTTTTATCATTGATACAATGCTATCATCTCATAACATATATAATAAATATAATTTTGTATAATTTATATAATATATAATTTATATAACATATATAATAAATATACGTTTATTATATAAATATTGTATAAATATATATTTTGAGACAGACAGAGTCTCACTGTCACCCAGGCTGGAGTGCAGTGGCACAATCTCGGCTCACTGTAGCCTCAACCTCTCAGGCTCAAGCGATTCTTCTGCCTCAGCTTCCTGAGTAGCTGGGACCACAGGCACACACCACCATGTCTGACTAATTTTTGTATTTTTTTGTACAGGTAGGGTCTCACCATGTTGCCCAGGCTGATCTCGAACTCCTGGGCTCAAGTGATCTGCCTGCCTCGGCCTCCCAAAGTGGTAGAATTATAGGTGTAAGCCACTGCATCCAGCCATAAATACATTCTTATATTGAAAAATTTACCAACGATTCCAATACTCTTCTTTATAGCATCCGCACCCCCGCCAACATCTAGGCTCACACATGACATTTAGCTGACGTATGTGACAGACGTGTTTCCTGGGAAGCCCACTAGGAAAGCAATGGTGATGTTTTTACTGGGGGAAGTTTCCTCGGCGTTCATTCTTGAGGTATTTTGATGGCGTAAGTTGAGTAGCTGCCTGCTTGTGGCCCATCTAGTCTGTCCCTATGAACACCAAGATTTAAGGGTCATCTCCATGTTCTGCAGGCCAGCCCCTCCTGGCCAATCCTGGGCCCTACCACTCATGGTGAGCACTGTGTCCCCTAATGGGTGCCATCTCCTGGCCTCTCTTACTCCAGGGTTCCACCATCCCTTTTGCTATCAGTGAGCCTAGCTCCCAAGGGGCCTCACCCACCATCCTGTGATGGCATCTCCTGCAGAGGAGGCTTTCTGAGCTTCTCTGTGATGCTGGCTGGTGTTCTCTTCCTGGTCCATTCCTCGTGGACTTGGTAAAGGGGAATCTTGGCCTTTCCATGGAAGATCGTCGCCTCTGGCTCCCTGGGCCTTATGCAGCCTTCCCAAGCATTGCCACTTCCCTGACCTTTCATCGCATCTGCCACCGTCTCCCCTGGCAATTCTGGCATTTGGATCTCACTTAGCATGGCCTCCTACTTTTTCCCGTCTTCTAGGAGCCCTCCTGGCAGCAAGTTTACACCTTCTCCTGGAGTCCTTGCCTGGGTGTGCAGCCCTGAACTCCCAAAGGACTTCCGAATCAATAAACCCTTTCCTATCTGACCTCACACTGCAGCCCCCTGATCGAGCACCCTCAAGGTTGACTCCTGCACAAACTCACCCGACTTCTGCTGGTCATGCTGGCTTGGCCCTCCAGCTACTTTGGGATATAGGCCCTTTCCTCCCCTATGAGGCCCGTCACATCCCTGGCTTGTTTATGCTGGAATTTAAGCCTAGTTACAACCCTTGTGGGCAGGAGAGGAGGTGGGCACAGGGACAAACGTCTTGTGGATGCCTCTATAGGGTTTCCAAGCAAGGGAGGAGGGTTAGCTCTTAACAGGGAGGGATGGATAGGTCACTTTTACAGCTCTAGGAGTCAGAGGAATCTGAGGATTCAAGATTCTCAGTGGGACCGGGGTGGTGGCCCTTGCCTGTAATCCCAGCACTTTGGGAGGCTGAGGTGGGCAGATAACTTGAGGTGAGGAGTTCAAGACCAGCCTGGCCAACATGGTGAAACCCCATCTCTACTAATAACACAAAAATTAGTCAGGCGTGGTGGCATGTGCCTGTAGTCCCAGCTACTCGGGAGGCTGAGGCAGGAGAACCACTTGAACCCAGGAAGTGGAGGGTGCAGTGAGCCAAGATTGTGCCACTGTACTCCAGCCTGGGCGACAGAGCAAGACACTGTCTCAAAAAAAAAAAAAAAAAAAAAAGATTCTCAGTGGCATCAACCTGTATGTTCCCATTCTATGTGTCAGGGCCCTATTCTTTTTTACCATGTAGGGTCCTGACCACATTGAGCAGACCTGATAATTTTGACAGCATATCATCACTTTCTCATCTACCCACTAGGATGGCTATAATCAACATGATGGACAATGAGTGTTGGCAAGGATACAGAGAAACTGGAACTTTCATTCACTGCCAGGGGTGGGTGTGTATAAATGGTGCAGCCACTGTGGAAAACAGTCTGGCAGTTCTCAAATGGCTAAACATAGAGTTATCACGTGATCCAGCAATTCCACTCCTAGGTATACATGAGGGTTAATTTTATGTGTCTGCTGGACGGGGTTAAGGGACGCCCAGATGGCTGGTAAAATGTTATTTCTGGATGTGCCTGTGAGCATGTTCCTGGAAGAGATTAGTATTTCAATCTGTAGACTGAGTAGAGAAGACAGCCCTCACCAGGGTGAGTGTGCATCTTCCAATCCACTGGAGGCCTGAATAGAACAAAAAGAGGAACAGCAAATTTTCTCTCCCTGCATGAGCTGAGGCATCTGTCGTCTGCACTCGAATATTGATGCTCCTGGTTCTTGGGCTTTCATACTTGGATTGGGACTTATTCCAGCAATCTCCTGGTTCTCAGCCTTCTGAATTGGTCTGAAACTACAACCACTGGATTTCCTGAGTCTCCAGCTTGCAGACGGTGGATCACAAAACTTCTCAGACTCCATAATCACACAAGTCAAACCCTCATAATAAATCTCTTTATATATCTCTTCCTCTATTCTAATGGTTTGGTTTTTCTGGAGAACTCTGATTAATACAGCACACAGATGCTCCTTGACTTATGATGGGGTCATCAATTGTGGATCGCCTTTTATACGTAAGAAAAATGAAAACATATGTCTGCACAAAATCTCATACAAGAGTGTCCATAGCAGCTATTAGTCATAATAGCAAAAAATGCAGCAAAATAGCAAAAAAGTGGAGAATATCCAAATACCTATCAATGGAAGAATGGATAAACAAAATGTAGTCAATTTATGCAGTGGAAATGTCTTTCGGAAATAAAAAGGAATGAAACCTCAACATATACTATAACATGAATGAATCTTGAAAACATGTTAAGTTAAAGAAGCCAGACACAAAAGGCCACATATTGTATGATGCCATTTATATGAAATGTTGGCAATAGATGAAATACACAGCAGATTGGTGGTTTCTAGGGATTAGGGAGAGAATGGGTTGGAGGAATGGGGAATGACTGCTAATGGGTTTCAGGGTTTCCTTTTAGGGTGATGAAAATGTCTGGAATTATTATGATGAATGCATCTGTGATATGGCTCTAGTTATGAATATGCTGGATATAAGTCTTATGAATAGACACCAAGTATAAATCTTATGAATATACTCACACCACTGAATTGTACACTTTAGAAGGGTGAGAGCTTTATGGTATTGACTTGTATCTCAATAAAAACTTTTTAAAAATTAAACACACACACACACACACACACACACACACACACCAATTTCTTTGCAGTCCTGCATTTCTTAGGATTCAGTTCTGGACTTGGTCTTCACTTTCTCTGCCTTCTGGCTGCAAGAAATGCAACCCTCTTTTACCACCAAGGAGGCCCTCTGGCTCTCTCACTTAGCTTTCAATTGCTGATTGATTGCATTTAGCTTTTTACTACTTTTTTCCCCAGAGTCTTGGAAAGAGCCACCTAACTGCATTGGTCTATTTACGTACCAGCGCCATGCTGTTTAAGTATCAGAGGCTTCATAGTATGTTTTAATATTGGCTAAGACTAGGCCCTGCTCAGAACTCTTCTTTCCCTGTGTTTTCCTAGCTATTGCGTGTGTATTTTTCCATAAGAACTTTAGCGTCAACTTACCTGGTTCCATCGAAAAGCATATGTGGGTGTTTTTAGGGTGACCATTAAGCCTATCAATCAACTCAGGGAGAACTGACATCTTTATGCAGTCAAGTCTTTCCATCCGAGGGTGTGGCTAGACCGGGAAGCCCCCAAAAGTTACAGTGGGGCCAATATGCCAACACCAGGGTGGCCATTGCCAAAGACTGAGGGCCTGGAATGAAATACACCCCTGTTCAGATGAGCAAGCCCTCCTCTCTGCCCTACCCAGATGACAACCTCTCCTTGTATCATGCACCTGAGTTGCTCTGGTTCCCACCATCTCATAATTACTCTAATTCTGGAGCCATTTTGCGGGGAGGCCCAGAGTCTGTGTGGTGGGAATGGAAGGTACCCAACTGCGACCTGCCACCTGGTCTTCCCAGGAGCATCACTGGCTTGTGATGCCCAGGCCAGGGCCACTCTGCTGCTGGACAACTTGGCAGAGCAGGTCTCTGCTGCCCACCAGAACTGGCCCTGAGCTCTTGGATATGTGTGTGGCAGCAGCCAGGGCCAATCCAAGAGGTGGAGTTTGGGGTCCTGAGAGTTCTAGCTTTGGATTACCAGGCAGTATCGATGAGGTGAGTCTAAGAAGGTGCCCTTAGCGTTGGTTCAGCACCAAGATGGGGGACAGGGATGGAGGCTGTCAATATGGCACAGGTATTAGAAGCCCTGTCCTCTGTCCCTTCACCTACTCTAGTCTCTGTAGGCTGAGCCAAAGACGGCAGAGAACAGGTTCTAGGTGAATCAGAGGAGCTTCCCTTGGTTGCTCACCTCTCTCCAAGAATGACAATAATGAGGGAAGGCTCTTCCCATCCCATTCAATCTAGCATTCCTAGCAGGTAAGTTTTAACAGTGGTTTGTGGAGAGTCAGGCTGTCTAAGGCACTCCTGTGGAGCAGAGAAGGGATGTTCAGTGGCTTCCTTTCTTTGTTTCCTGTTCCTTCCTCTGAGATAGACCCACTCCCTCATCCACGCAACAGATGGCCAGGATGCATCTGCTGGGGACTCCGCCCCCTGGCACTTGGCACCCATTCAATCATACATGTCTCAGACTCCTCTGCAGCCAGAGGTCTGGCTGTAATTTAGATTCTGCTAAGAAAGGGAGGTGGGATCCGTCTTCCCGCAGCTCTGGCAGCTGGCCATCCCTGATGGATGTTTGTGGTTGCAGGAATCTAACCTAGGTCTCGACTCCAGTTTTGTCCATGTGGGGCAGTGATGGCAGGGGTAGTGGTGGCATTAGCAGTAGCAGTGGCTGCTCTCTGGCCTCTGATTCGGCTACAGTGGTCTAATATTGAAACCAATAGTCCAGTGGTGGCCTCTGCCTTCTGCTCCTCCAGCCTTTCCAGTGATTTAGATAAAATCCCTTTCTGCCTAAGATTCCTAGAGTGCTTTCTGTTTTCTGGGCTGAACCTTGACTAGTGTGGACACTGTTGTTGGACTTGAGGTCAGGAGAGCCTCCTGGATGGACCTGGTGGGCCTTGCTCTAGAGGGCAGAGAGAAACAGGCTGAGCACGGTTGTTTGGCCACTGGCTCAGTTTAGGCTGTGGGGATGCAGAATCTCAGCATGTTAGGAGAGAAAACAGGGACCCAATAAAAATTCAGGAAGGCAAACTGAGCCACAGCATCAAGATGTGTAAACTAGGGGAGGAGTGCAGCATAAAAGGTGAAGAAAAGGAGGCCTCTCATGAAGAGGCATCCAATTAGGTGTCCAACAAGAGGGTCCCCATAGCATGCATGTCCCAACTCCCTCTGTCTGTGTCTGTGGCAGACAAAGTAAGCCAATATGGGCATGCTCTCCTGCTAGCAACCGAGCTCAGAGGGCTCTTCAATAGCCCACATATACACTGTAAACCTGCAAGCACCTTCTTTTTTCCGTATCCAGTGCAGACATTGCTAATCAATCATGGCACTTGTACCACCACTTTCCTCTACTGCATCCATGGCAGACATCACTAATTGATTAGATAATTCTTCTCAGCTAATTGGCCATTCTTTAAAACCCTTCAGAAGATAAGGCTCCAGGTAGCCAGTACCAAATGACTGTGGCTGACAGATGAGATGGGAACTCTCTGCCATCCCTATATAAACTATTTAGATTTGGCAAGGAGAGGCCAATGGGAGGAAGGGATGGATTGCAGCAGGAGGAAAGATGTGAGCTAATTTGCATGGGCAGAGAGGAGTCAGGGAGGAGGGGGCATTCTCAGCTGGGTGGGAAGCAGCAGTGGTGGTATGAGGATAGAGTCATGGAAGTGACAGAGAAGCTGCAAACGCAGGCTGGTGTCAAACCATGGAGTCTGGATCCTAGTGTGTAAGCCATGGGAGGCAGGGGAGTGTGTGAGCTGGGAGAGCAGATTCACTAAAACACACACATGCACACGTGTGCACACACATGCACACATGTGCTCACACACACATGTACACAATCTCTCTCATCTGGTAGGGGACCCTGAATTTCCTCATGCTGAGGGCTGGTGTCCATCTTCTCTTCATCCAGTAGGACCGCTGATTTTCTCAACTTCACACAGCAGCCTGGGGAAGTATTATAAGAGATGTTGGTAACCCCATTCTTTCTGCAGAAGCTGAGACCACACAGCCGGATGGGAAAATGGAAGCACAGGGGCATACCTGGGGCCATCACTGGGCCCTGCCCCTTTAGTGGGAATCATGTCCCTCCCCTGACCATGCTCCCCCCTTACCCCTAAAGGGTACTTCCTTTGGCACCACAGATCTCTCACCTTCACTGGCCATGGCTGGATGGGGATGCCATTCCGTCCCATGCAGCACAGGGCAGATGTGCAGGCTGCAGCTTCCTTGGCCAGCAGGTCCCAGCGGGCATTGTGGCCCAGGTTGCCTGTCGGGTCAGCCGGATCCAGGATGATAGGCCTGCAATTCCCACCCAGGGACAGTCTTATTCCTGGCAACATCTAGGTGTCCACCTGTGGCACTGGTTGGACTATTTTCCCCTTTTATCTAACACTTTGCAGGGGCTAGAGCCAGGGCTCAGAGATTCCTCAGTGCTCCTATACACTACAGGGCAGGTATAGAAAATAAGACACACATGGCCACTTTGCCATTCTGCATTCAGGCAAACATTACTAATCAACCACGGTGCTACCGCTTACCCCTTCCTTATTCAGGGGAGGCATTGTTAATCAATCACAACACTGGTTCCACAACTCTCCCCTCCTGCATCCATGATACAGGTTGAGTATTTCTTATCTAAAATGCTTGGGACCAGAAGTGTTTTGGACTTCAAATTTTTTCAGATTTTGGACCTTTGCCTTACTTACCAGTTAAGAATCCCTAATTTGAAAATCCAAAATGCTCCAATAAGCATTTTCCTTGAGCATATTTTTTGGTGGTCAAAAAGCTTCAAATTCTGGGCCATTTTCAGATTTTGAATTTTTGCATTTGGGATGCTCAACCTTTGGACACTACTAGCTGGTTAGCCTACTCTTTCCAGCTGAGTCAAATCACAACCTTAGAAGCTTTTTCAACACATCATTCTAAGTAGCCACTCCCCACTGACTGGAGATGCATCTTGAGTTTGCAAAAGCATCTCTATTATCTCTGTACCCATTTCAGAGGTAGGCAAAATCCCAAAGAATGAAACATGCTTATGGCACCTGGGTGGGTTCACAGGTAGGGTGGTCAGATTTAACAAATACAAATACAAGGCTGGGCACAGTGGCTCATGCCTGTAATCCCAGCACTTTGGGAGGCCTAGGCAGGCGATCACTTGAGGCCAGGAGTTTGAGATCAGCCTGGCCAACATGGTGAAACCCCTGTCTCAACTAAAAATACAAAAATTAGCTGGACCTGGTGGCATGCGCCTCTGGTCCCAGCTACTCAGGAGGCTGAGGCAGAAGAATTGCTTGAACCCGGGAGGCGGAGGGTTGCAGTGAGCCAAGATCGCGCCATTGCACTCCAGCCTGGGTGACAAAAACAAACAAACAAACAACAACAACAACAAAAAACCAGGATGCCCAGTTAAATTTGACTTTCAGATAAACAGTGAATAAATTTTTAAGCGTAATTATGTCTCAAATATGGCATCGAGCATACTTATACTAAGAAGTTATTCATTGTTTATCTGAAATTCAAATTTAACTTGGGGTCTTGCGTTTTATCTGGCAACCCTATTCCTGGGTGACCAGAAAATTGACCGTTTGTCCCTCAGGTACTACAAATATAACTTCTAGGAAGGAATCCGTTCTAGGAAGAGTGTTTTCCCATCTCTGCTCTGCAATCTAGAAAGTGGGGAGAGTGAGTGATCCCAGGTTTGAAATTCTGGAACATTGGGGGTAGACCTGAACCTGGGCTTCTGAAGCTGCTGTTTCAGGAAGTCTCCAACAGTCTTGTCCTTGGCGTTGTAGTTGATGGTCCAGTAGATACAGAGCTGGCGGTACTGGGTGACCAGCTCCAGGACCGTGCGGAAGCCCTCAGCCATGTTGAACTGGGAGTCCTTCCCGCCCTGCTCCCAGGCATACACAGTCAGGAGTTCCAGCCCGTGCTGTGGGGGTAGGGAGCCTCTCCCCTTGGAGATCTTGGTACACTGGAGAACGAGAAGAAAGATATGTTGGTTCATATTGGCACTGATGAGGTACAGAAGGGATTATTCTGGACTTGGCAAAGCAACCCCAAAACTTTTATTGAGCACCTACATGTGCCAGATGCCTTGCCATGCATTATCCCATCACATCCTGTGACATAGTTTTATCACCCCCATCTTACAGATAAGAAAACTAAGGTCCCACAGCTGAGATATAGCACTCTTTCTGCTCTGCTCCACCAACCCAGGATCTTGGCCAGGGCTGGGCCCTGCTTCCTCCCAGGAAAGTGCTCCAGAGGCAGATCCCAGGGCAACTTAGGAAGGTGGCCTATCCATGTGCCGAACCTGCTGGTACCAGTGCTTCACCAGCCGGATCAGGCTCTTCAGCTTGGTAGGGCGAGAGATGATGAAGTCCCGTTGTAGCTCTGTGAAGCAGGTGGAGTACTCGCCCGCATTGCTGTAGCTGTGGATGAGGTCGACGTAGACTTGAGAGCTGGGCCTGGAGCCAGAGACCAGCTGGCCTGGAGATGGGGAGATGGTTACCATCACTCCGGCTCCCATGTTGTCCCAGTGGGGCCAACTTAGAAAGGACTTCTGAGATCTCCTACCTCTTGGGTGTTTTCCTAAGGGTGGTCTGGGATCCACTGGGAGGCCACAGGGTGTTTTTAGGTGGAACACAGATGTGGCCTGATCCACATTAAATCCCTGGTGACAGTCATCCTCCCTTTTCTGCTCCCTTTCAAACCATCTGCTTACCTATCTTGGAAAAAGTCTCAGCTGGGAGCTAGCCTGTCTTTAACACCTCTCTAATACTTACTTATCTTTCTGTCTAACCGAGGGAGGGCAGGCCTCAGTCTTACATCCTCCTGCAGGTAACAGAGCTGTGTATGGAGTTGACATCACCATTCTGGTTACATTGCACTTAAAGGCATTCCTTAATATCCAAATTCTTGCTCTCTGAACTGAAGAACTGAGTAGATTCAGATAAATTTCTGGGCTGGGTGCAGTGGCTTACGTCTGTAATCCCAGCACTCTCGAAGGCCACTGCAGGAGGATCATATGTGGCCAGGAGTTTCAGATCAGCCTGGGCAACATAGTCATATCCCCATCTCTACAAAAAATTCTATAAATTAGCCAGGTGTGGTGGTGTGCACCTGTAGTCCCAGTTTCTCAGGACGCTGGGGCTGGAGGATCACTTGAGCCCAGGAGTTTGAGGCTGCATTGAGTCATGATGGTGCCACTGCACTCCAGGCCAGGTGATAAAGTAAGACCCTGTCTCTTAAAAAAAAATTCTGCATGAATCCCTCCCTTGGCCACCTGCTCCCTCAAACTCAGAAACCAAATAAATTCGGATACAAGGGAATTTCTCACTCTGAAAACTGCTAATCAAACTGAGAGTTGAAAAGATATGAAGAGAGTTGTGTCTATTTTGTTCAAGGCTTTATTTTTGGTGCCTGGAAGAGCACTGGGCACAGAGTAGATGCATGTATTGAATGAACTGAATGAATGGATCTGCAGCAGGTGGAGGAGGTGGGTGGCACACAAACCATTCAAAGCTGGGAATGTGCAAGAAACATCAGTGTCCTTACTGTCAGATGTGAGATAAAGACACTGGGGCTCAGGACGGGGAAGTCCCTTGTTCAAGGTCATCCAGCATGTTGGTGGAATTGCTCAGACTGGAACCCAGCTTGAGGCCACTGTTAGCCCACAGAGTGCCTGCGCAAATTAGAAAAAGGGGCCCTCTTCTTTAGATACTTTGCAGGAAAGTTGTGATGAACATACACAACTACAATGCCTGCAATGATGCGAACAGATGTGGCCTGGTTGTGTACTGTGCAACCTCTACAACTGCCCATGGCGGCCCTGCCTCTGTATTTCCCCCTCTCAGGTCTACGCCAGGGCACCTCACCTAGGGCGTCAAAGGCTGGCAGCACATCAAAGTCCACACTCTGGTCCAGCATCGTCTGGGATGTCAGTGAGAAGCTCAGCACGCGGGGATTCTCCCATTTGGAGACTTCAAACTTGACCTCGAACTGCCGCTCCTGTTGACATGCCTCCAGCTGGGCTCGGATCTCGGAGATGATCTCGGCCCGCTTGTTGCCCTGCTCAGTGAACTGGCTGAAGCAGCTGAGGAACACCACGAGGTCGGCATCTGAGCGGCCTCGCAGAGCTGTGCCTTTGGCTGAAGAGCCACCCTGGAGAGGACATGGCAGGTGGCTCAACCCTTGAAGCATGGCTTAGCCTGTCGGTTCTGGACTGTGAGTTAGAAAACCTACTGTGTGACCTTGGACAAGTCATCTAACCTCTCTGTGTTAGATCTTTAATATGGTAAGAAAGACTGTATTTAAGATTGTAAGAAAAAGAAGCGTGCAAGAGGTAAGTTTAAACCCTTCAACAAATGCAAAATTTCTCATTCCATCATGTTTTGTGACTGGAGAGGATTTGAGAAGTGTTTTGTTTGTTGGTTGGTTTTTTGGGCCTGCAGCTCCCAAGCCTGTCTGCACCTGGAAGGCTTTTACCAACGACTAATGGCTGGCTCCCACCCCACAAGACTGTGATTTAAGTTTTCCTGGGTTGGGGCTTGGGCATCAGCATATTTTTAAAAAACTGTAATTCCAAGGTCAAGCCAGGGGAGCCAGAGTTGAGAGCCAGTGATCCAAGCCACTCTCCTCAAGTGTTAGAAATCAGGAACGTGAGGATCAGAGAGGGGAAGGTACATGCCTATGGTCACACAGCAAACCAGCATCCCTGGCACTGTTCACTGGCTGGCTTTATGCTAACACTCTTTCTGAGCTGATCTGGGTCTCACTTGTCTCTCCAACTGTGGACTGAGGCTGTATCCAGGGCCGTGGACAGTGTGACCTTTTGTACACCCCCAGCGTCCTTTCCACCTGGGATCAGCATCCTGGTGTTCTTTGGAGGGACCACTCCTACCCCACACTCAGCCCATGAGGACTAGGCGGGGGCCACTTCACCATGTGACCCAGTCTTGGCCATCCAGAGCATAATGTCTCCCTAGCCCCAGTAACTAGTTTGGGGGTTGGTAGGTTACCCAAGCCAGGCCAATGAGACTCAATTCCAAGACTTTTATTTGAATTTTAAGAAAAAACAAGTTCCCCTTTCTGGAAGCTTAGAGCTGCCAAAGACCACCATATGTTAAGGGCCTATCCAAGACATTAAAAAGCAGAACCGAGAACTGGAGAGAAAAACTGAGTCCTGATGATGCTGCCTGGGCTCCTGGATCTAGCTATGCCGGTAAGCAGCCCTACCCAGGACTTTCCAGTTACATCAGTCAATACATTCCTTTGTTGTGTCTTTTGAGTTAGGTGTCACTAGCAACCAAAAGAGACTTGTTGGACATATCTGGGCCCTCTCTCTGCCATCCTCCCATGACCACTTTCCAGCTCTTTCTCTATGCCTGGCTTTTTGCTGTTTGCTACGAGGGCGGAAGTGGGTCAAGCCTGGCCCTGGGCTGGGAGAGATCACCAGCTTGCAGGACACTGCTTGCCTACAGCTCTCTGAGGACTCACCTTGACCACCTTGATCACTTTGATGGGAGAATTCCGGAAGCAGTTTTCCTTCAAAAATGAACAGATGGTATCAACGGCCTTGTTCACCTGGGCCAGGAACTGGCGGTTGGGCTGGAGAAATTCACTGATGAACTTGTCAAGGTCCCCAGCTGGGGTTTGGTAAAGGAGGGCTGGCTGCAGAGAGAATCCAGGTGGGGCCAGCTTGAGACGGGACTCCCAGTGCTCACCCAAGCCCTGCCCCTTGATGTCCTCTGAGGACAAGACTCCCACTGTCTCCCATGTCCCTCTTTCCTTCTCAGCTGGTGGGTAGGTTCTGAGGTAGCATCAGAAGGACCTGAGATTGAATTTTGGTTCCAGCATCAATACACAGTCTCAGTTTCCCCATGTTTAAATGAGTGCAATAATGAAGTCCGGGTCTCAATGGATTGTCCTGAGTATTAAATGCTGGTTATGAGACCCTGCTGCAAAATAGTAAATGTGATAAAATCATATCCTTTTGGGAGCTGCAAGTGGCTTATGTCTCAGTTTTCCTAGAAGCAGGGTCCATGGCAGGAATTCTTGTGCATATGATTAATTGGGGCAGTGCTTGGAGGAGAAGTGGAACAAGGACAGCAGCAGAGGGCAGAGAAGAGGCTCAGCAAAGCTGGGTGCTCAGCCGGAGACAAGTGTTTGCCTGATTCCACAGGGAGCGCTGGAACGTGAGTTGCATCACAGAATCGGTTCCGCCTGGAGACAGAGTTAGGCTTTTTGTAACCCTGTGTCACTCAGGCACTGGCTGGGACGTAGCAATCTGTGCATTTCATGAAAGGCAAGTCTCCAGAGAAGGGGTGGCTATGAGTTGTCAGCCACCAACACTCCTAGCAGCTGGGGATGGGTGCACCGGCAGGTTAAGGGAACCTGACTAGAAGGCAGGGTGCAGGGCCCCCTGCCCCCCAGGACCCTCCATCTTACCATCACATCCCAGGGCTGCACAGATGTCCCGTCTCTACTCAGAAAGCAGGCCTGCATCCCCAGCGCTGCTGCTTCCTGGGCCAACAGCTCCCAGCTACCGTGGCCCACGTTCCAGGTGGGATCAGCGGGGTCCAGGACCAGGGGTCTGGGGGCACAGCAGGAAGGTGGGTGGGGAAGGTGGGAGTCAGTGAAAGAGGAGGCGGGTGGAAGGGCTGAAAAGGGGCGTGAGGGCTGGAAAGAGTGTCAGGACCTCAGGGTTGGCTCAGTCTTGCCCAAGTGCAGAAGCGATCTCAATTGGCTGCCTTGGTTGGAAAGCTATTGGGTGGCCCCTTCAACTGAGAAATACTATTTTATCATGCTAATAAAACTGGCCCTGGTTTCTTTTGGGACTCCTTATGTCCACACTTCCTCAGCAAAGAGTCCAGAGGGAAGCAGAGTGAGGAGTGGGATTGCCACCCCAAACCCTACCTTGGACTCCTCCTGGATGACTGACTCCAGGGTGACAGTGGGGAGGGGGAGGATAATGAAGCCAGGCAAAGGGAAGCGGGTCTTCACCTGGGTTTTCGAAGCTGGCCAAGAAGGTGCATTCTCATGGCTGGGTCCTCAGTGCTATAGTTGACCGTCCAGTAGACACAGAGCTGCTGATGCTGTTGCACGAGCCCCAGCACCGTCCGGAAGCCTTGGGCCATGTTGAAACAATCCTGCCTGCAGCCCTGCTCCCAGGCAAAGATGGTGAGGAGCTCCAGGGCATAGGCTGGGGGCAGAGAGGCAGGGGCTGGTCCTTTTCCTTTGTTCTGAGCCGCAACCTGTGTCACACAAGGCCAACCAAAGATGAGTGATTAGTGGATGTGAGCTGAGTGTGGCCATAAGCACTTGGGGCAGGAAGGGAATATAGAAAATAGAAGCGCAGAAAGAATAGAAACTTGCTGATGCTTCTCATTTTACAGGTGGGTAAACTGAGGTTCAGAGGAGGGTAGTGACTTGTCTAAGGTCATACAGTGAGACTGAGAGCTCAGACGTGGCTTTTGCCTAGTGTCTCCCCTCAAGGAAATTGGAAATTTGAAACATCTTGAGTGTGTAACTCTAATTGAAGACGGAAGCATTGACGAATCCATCCATCAGCAGCCTTTAGGAATATTTTAACATTAATCACATAACATGGGGTGGTTGTACAGGAATAGGGGCTGCAATGTATCCATCTTGGTATCCCAGTGTCCATCACAAGTTAGAAATAGCAGGTGCTCGATAGATGTTTGTTGAATATAGGGATGCATGAATACAAGTCAGAATTCAGAGAAGTATTTAGTAAGGGAGCTCCGAAGGATGTTCAGAATTTAGTGCAACTCAAAAGAGGCAACAAGGCTGGGGCATGGTGGCTTGTGCCTGTAATTCTAGCATTTTGGGAGGCCAAGGTGGGTGGATTACTTGAGCCCAGAAGTTCTAGACTAACCTGGGCAACATGGTAAGACTCCTGTCTCTACAAAAAGTACAAAAATCAGCCAGGTGTAGTAGTGCATGCCTGTAGTCTTAGCTACTACGGGGGCTGAGGCAGGAGGACTACTTGAGCCCAGAAGGTCGAGGCTGCAGCGAGCTGTAATTGTGCCACAGCACTCCAGCCTGGATGACAAAGGGAGACACTTTCTCAAAAAAAAAAAAGGCTATGAAAGAATGTATTGGCTGATGTAACCCAAAAGCCTTGGAGTAGATCTGCTTTCAGGCACAGCTTGATCCAGAAGCCCATAAGGAGTCATCAGCTTTTCTGTTCAGATCTTTTCTGTTCAAGTGCTCTGGTTTTTCTGTCTTGGACAGGCCCTTACCATATGGTGGTCATTGCCAGCTCTAGGCTTCCAGAAAGGGGAGTTTTCTTTTCTAAAAATAGACATGTGGTGGGGGTAATATCATAAGCAACGGCTTGGAGGTGGGGGAAAAACAGAGAAAACATTTGCAGTGTCAAAAGAGAGAAGTGGATGGGCTAAAGTGAACCCCAGGTACAAGAAATGAAGACTTTAGACTTGATGGAGAAGAGATTTTTTTCTAACAGTGGCTTCCAGATCTGGGCAGGAAATGGAGGATGGAGGAGGCCGGTCCTTCTGCTCTGGATGACCAATAAGAAGCAAAGGAGGGGAGATGTGGGTGTAGAGGAGGAACTGATTGGCTGGGGTGGTTGCCATGACAGTGGTGGCTTCCTGGGAGGAGCCAGGGGCAACTCACCTGGCGGTACCAGTGCTTCACCAGCAGAATCAGGTTCTTCAGCTTGACAGGGCGAATGTTCATGAAGTTCCTCCGCAGCTCTGCGAAGCAGGCCTTATGCTCGCCCTCCTGGCAGCCACTGGTGAGGAGCCTCGAGTAGACCTGGGGATTTGGTTTGGTGCCAGAACTGAGCTGCCCTGTAGAAGTTTGAAACACCCTGAGTGTGCAACTCCAATTGAAGACAGCAGCATTTACCAACCCATCCATTCACCAGCCTTTATGAATATTCTAACATTAATCACCTAACATTGCAATCAATAATACACTATAACATTGAATAACAATCAGAGCTATCATTTTTTCAGTATCAATTCTGTACTGGATGCTTTTCAATATTTTTTGCTAATCCATCCAGTAACTGCACAGTGGATAATCTTCTATTTATTTTTTGTTTTTTAAATTTTCCCTGAAAGCTGAAAGATGGATAATCTTGAGCCAGAAAAGCTGTGTCACATAGTGGTTAAAGGAGTGAGCTTTGGAGACAGATAAGCCTGGGTTCAAATCCAAGCTGTGTGATTTTTACCTCTTCGGGTCTAGTTTCCTCATCTGTAAAAGGGAGATCATAAATAGCACCTATCCTTCTAAGGCTATTGTAAGAATCAATTGAAATCTACATGTGAAGTGCTTAGAACAGTATGTAGAATACATCATATGCTCAATAAGCAGTAATTATTGCTATTATTAACGTTATCTTCCAGAAAAAGAAAAACAAGACACAGAGAGGAAGCTACAATTGAGTCTTGTCCTTCACTTTCATAAGGCTGGCCTCTAAAATAAATGCCTTCTTCATGAAAAGTGACTGCAAAAGGTTGTCCACTGGCAGAGAGGGGCTTCAAGGAAGCTTGCTGCTAGGGCTCTGGGTGGGGGAAAAAAGAAAATCCCCTGTGAGAAACTGGGACCCCGATCCTGTGCTAGATGTGGATGTGAAGTCCAAATTTACAGTATCTGCATGGTGAGGAAATCCCAGACTGTTAAATTAATGCATAATCTAGCCTGGGAATTAGTGAAACTCTTGGAGTCCAGGTAGAAATGAAGTGAAAACTTGGTCCCAAGGGTAATATTTCTCCAACCCAGGGCACAAGGAACTTCCACAGGAAAAGCAAAGACAACAAAATCTCCACAAACCCCAAAGATGAGTTCACAATAAAAAATTACAAACTATATGAGGAAATGATTGACCATGAGGGAGAGTCAGGTGACACAACAAATAGGAAAATTAGCACCTCAAGAATTTGAGTTAATAGGACAATCTGAGACACTAAAATAAGCATGTTGGAAATTATTGAAGACATCAAAGAAACTGAAACCACAGTGAAAGAATCGAAGCCTATGAACAAATAACTGATTGATTTAAGAAAGAGAGAAACATAACTTTTAGAGGTGAAAAAGTCACTGAAATTTTAAAAAATTAAGGATAAGCAGCAGAGTAGACATTATTTGAATAGAGTTTATAAACCAGAAGACAGGTCCAAGAAACTGAAAAACAGACAGCCCTGATAGACAAAGAGATGGGAACAATGAGAGAGATGAAAAGCCATGGAGGATGAGATAAGAAACCATCTAACAGGAGTTCCAGAAGTAGAGAATAGACAAAATAGGGGAGAGGCAGTATTTGAAGAGCTATTGGAAGACCTCTCCCTAAAACTAAAGGAAGAATTGAGCTCTCAGATTCAGGAGGGACAGCACATTTCAAAGAGGACAAATTAAAAAGAAATCCAGAGAGGAGGTTCCAAGATGGCTGAATAGGAACAGCTCCAGTCTACAGCTCCCAGCGTGAGTGACACAGAAGATGGGTGATTTCTGCATTTCCAACTGAGGTACTGGGTTCCTCTCACTCCTCTCACTGTGGCTTGTTGGACAGTGGGTACAACCCACGGACCATGAGCCGAAGCAGGGCAGGGCGTCGCCTCACCTGGGAAGTGCAAGGGGTCGGGGAATTCCCTTTCCTATCCAAAGGAAGCCATGACAGATGGTACCTGGAAAATCGAGACACTCCCACCCTAATACTGTGCTTTTCCAATGGTCTTAGCAAACGGCACACCAGGAGATTATATCCTGCACCTGGCACGGAGGGTCACACGCCCACGGAGCCTCATTCACTGTTAGCACAGCAGTCTGAGATTGAACTGCAAGGCAGAAGCGAGGCTAGGGGAGGGGCATCCACCATTGCTGAGGCTTGAGTAGGTAAACAAAGTGGCTGGGAAGCTCGAACTGGGTGGAGCCCACTGCAGCTCAAGGAGGCCTGCCTGCCTCTGTAGACTCCATCTCTGGAGGCAGGGCATAGCTGAACAAAAGGCAGCAGAAACTTCTGCAGACTTAAACGTCCCTGTCTGACAGCTTTGAAGAGAGTAGTGGTTCTCCCAGCATGGAGTTTGAGATCTGAGAACGGACAGACTGCCTCCTCAAGTGGGTCCCTGACCCCCGAGTAGCCTAACTGGGAGGCACTTCCCCGTAGGGGCCGACTGACACCTCATATGGCTGGGTGCCCCTCTGAGACGAAGCTTCCAAAGGAAGGATCAGGCAGCAATATTTGCAGTTCTGCAATATTTGCTGTTCTGCAGCCTCCACTGGTGATATCCAGGCAAACAGGGTCTGGAGTGGACCTCCAGCAAACTCCAACAGACCTGCAGCTGAGGGTCCTGACTGTTAGAAGGAAAACTAACAAACAGAAAGGACATCCACACCAAAATCCCATCTGTACGTCACCATCATCAAAGACCAAAGGTAGATAAAGCCACAAAGATGGGGGGCAACCAGAGCAGAAAAGCTGAAAATTCTAAAAATCAGAGCGCCTCTTCTCCTCCAAAGGAACGCAGCTCCTCGCAAGCAATGGAACAAAGCTGGATGGAGAATGACTTTGATGAGTTGAGAGAAGAAGGCTTCAGACAATTGGTAATAACAAACTTCTCCGAGCTAAAGGAGGATGTTCAAACCTATCACAAAGAAGCTAAAAACCTTGAGAAAAGATTAAACGAATGGCTAACTAGAATGAACAGCATAGAAAAGACCTTAAATGACCTGATGGAGCTGAAAATCATGGCACAAGAACTACGTGATGCATGCACAAGCTTCAGTGGCCGATTCTATCAAGTGGAAGAAAGGGTATCAGTGATTGAAGATCAAATGAATGAAATGAAGTGAGAAGAGAAGTTTAGAGAAAAAAGAGTAAAAAGAAATGAACAAAGCCTCCAAGAAAGATGGGACTATATGAAAAGATCAAATCTATGTCTGATTGGTGTACCGGAAAGTGACAGGGAGAATGGAACCAAGTTGGAAAACACTCTGCAGGATATTATCCAGGAGAACTTCCCCAACCTAGCAAGGCAGGCCAACATTAAAATTCAGGAAATACAGAGAACACCACAAAGATACTCCTCGAGAAGACCAACTCCAAGACACATAATTGTCAGATTCACCAAAGTTGAAATGAAGGAAAAAATGTTAAGGGCAGCCAGAGAGAAAGCTCGAGTTACCCACAAAGGGAAGCCCATCAGACTAACAGCAGATCTCTCGGCAGAAACTCTACAAGCCAGAAGAGAGTGGGGGCCAATATTCGACGTTCTTAAAGAAAAGAATTTTCAACCCAGAATTTCATATCCAGTCAACCTAAGCTTCATAAGTGAAGGAGAAATACAATCCTTTACAGACAAGCAAATGCTGAGAGATTTTGTCACCACCAGGCCTGCCTTACAAGAGCTCCTGAAGGAAGCACTAAACATGGAAAGGAACAATCGGTACCAGCCACTGCAAAAACATGCCTAATTGTAAAGACCATCGATGCTAGGAAGAAACTGCATCAACTAACGAGCAAAATAACCAGCCAACATCATAATGACATGATCAAATTTACACATAACAATATTAACGTTAAATGTAAATGGACTAAATGCTCCAATTAAAAGACACAGACTGGCAAATTGGATAGAGTCAAGACCCATCAGTGTGCTGTATTCAGGAGACCCAGCTCACATGCAGAGACACACATAGACTGAAAATAAAGGGATGGAGGAAGATCTACCAAGCAAATGGAAAACAAAAAAAAGCAAGGGTTGCAATCCTAGTCTCTGATAAAAGGGACTTTAAACCAACAAAGATCAAAAGAGACAAAGAAGGCCATTACATAATGGTAAAGGGATCAATTCAACAAGAAGAGCTAACTGTCCTAAATATATATGCGCCCAATACAGGAACACCCAGATTCATAAAGCAAGTCCTTAGAGACCTACAAAGATACTTAGACTCCCACACAATAATAATGGGAGACTGTAACACCCCACTGTCAACATTAAACAGATCAATGAGACAGAAAGTTAACAAGGATATCCAAGAATTGAACTCAGCTCTGCACCAAGCGGACCTAATAGACATCTACAGAACTGTCCACCCCAAATCAACAGAATATACATTCTTCTCAGCACCACATTACACTTATTCCAAAATTGACCACATGGTTGGAAGAAAAGCACTCCTCAGCAAATGTAAAAGAACAGAAATTATAACAAGCTGTCTCTCAGACCACAGTGCAATCAAACTAGAACTCAGGATTAAGAAACTCACTCAAAACCACTCAACTACATGGAAACTGAACAACCTGCTCCTGAATGACTACTTGGTACATAACTAAATGAAGGCAGAAATAAAGATGTTCTTTGAAACCAATGAGAACAAAGACACAACATACCAGAATCTCTGGGACACATTTAAAGCAGTGTGTAGAGGGAAATTTATAGCATTAAATGACCACAGGAGAAAGCAAGAAAGATCTAAAATTGACACCCTAACATCACAATGAAAAGAACTAGAGAAGCAAGAGCAAACACATTCAAAAGCTAGCAGAAGGCAGGAAATAACTAAGATCAGAGCAGAATTGAAGGAGACAGAGACACAAAAAACCCTTCAAAAAATCAATGAATCCGAGAGCTGGTTTTTTGAAAAGATGAACAAAATTGATAGACTGCTAGCAAGACTAGTAAAGAAGAAAAGAGAGAAGGATAGAATAGACACAATAAAAAATGATAAAGGGGATATCACCACCGATTACACAGAAATACAAACTACCATCAGAGAATACTATAAACACCTCTACACAAATAAACTAGAAAATCTAGATAAAATGGATAAATTCCCGGACACAGACACGCTCCCAAGACTAAACCAGGAAGAAGTTGAATCCCTGAATAGACCAATAACAGACTCTGAAATTGAGGCAATAATTAATAGCCTACCAACCAAAAAAAGTCCAGGACCAGATGGATTCACAGCCGAATTCTACCAGAGGTACAAAGAGGAGCTGTTACCATTCCTTCTGAAACTTTTCCAATCAATAGAAAAAGAGGGAATCCTCCATAACTCATTTTATGAGGCCAGCATCATCCTGATACCAAAGCCTGGCAGAGACACAACAAAAAAAGACCAATATCCCTGATGAACATCTATGCGAAAATCCTCAATAAAACATCTATGCAAAAATCCTCAATAAAATACTGGCAAACTGAATCCAGCAGCACATCAAAAAGCTTATCCACCCTGATCAAGTTGGCTTCATCCTTGGGATGCAAGGCTGGTTCAACATACACAAATCAATAAACGTAATCCATCATAAAAGCAGAACCAAAGACAAAAACCACATGATTATTTCAATAGATGCCAAAAAGGCCTTTGAGAAAATTCAACAGCCCTTCATGCTAAAAACTCTCAATAAACTAGGTATTGATGGGAGGCATCTCAAAATAATGAGTTATTTATGACAAACCCACAGCCAATATCGTACTGAATGGGCAAAAACTGGAAGCATTCCCTTTGGAAACTGGCACAAGACAGGGATGCCCTCTCTCACCACTCCTATTCAACATAGTGTTGGAAGTTCTGGCCAGGGCAATAAGGCAGGAGAAAGAAATAAAGGGTATTCAATTAGGAAACGAGGAAGTCAAATTGTCCCTGTTTGCAAATGACATGATTGTATATTTAGAAAACCCCATCGTCTCAGCCCAAAATGTTCTTAAGCTGATAAGCAACTTCAGCAAAGTCTCAGGATACAAAATCACTGTGCAAAAATCACAAGCATTCCTACACACCAATAACAAACAAACAGAGAGCCAAATCATGAGTGAACTCCCATTCACAATTGCTTCAAAGAGAATGAAATACCCAGGAATCCAACTTACAATGGATGTGAAGGACTTCTTCAAGGAGAACTACAAACCACTGCTCAGTGAAATAAAACAGGACACAAACAAATGGAAGAACATTCCATGCTCATGGATAGGAAGAATCAATATTGTGAAAATGGCCATATTGCCCAAGGTAATTTATAGATTCAATGCCATCCCCAACAAGCTACCAATGACTTTCTTCACAGAATTGGAAAAAACTACTTTAAAGTTCATATGAAACCAAAAAAGAGCCTGCATTGCCAAGACAATCCTAAGCCAAAAGAACAAAGCTGGAGGCATCACGCTACCTGACTTCAAACTATACTACAGTAACCAAAACAGCATGGTACTGTACCAAAACAGAGATATAGACCAATGGAATAGAACAGAGCCCTCAGAAATAACACCACATGTCTACAACCATCTGATCTTTGACAAACCTGACAAAAACAAGAAATGGGGCCAGGCGCAGTGGCTCACGCCTGTAATCCCAGCACTTTGGGAGGCCGAGGTGGGTGGATCACGAGGTCGGGAGATCAAGACCATCCTGGCTAACATGGTGAAACCCTGTCTGTCTCTACTAAAAAATACAAAAAAATTAGCCAGATGTGGTGGCGGGCACCTGTAGTCCCAGCTACTAGGGAAGCTGAGGCAGGAGAATGGTGTGAACCTGGGAGGTGGAGCTTGCAGTGAGCCGAGATCGCGTCACTGCACTCCAGCCTAGGCAACAGAGCGAGACTCCATCTCAAACAACAACAACAACAACAACAACAAACAAACAAACAGACAAACAAGAAATGGGGAAAGGATTCCCTATTTAATAAATAGTGCTGGGAAAACTGGCTAGCCATATCTAGAAAGCTGAAACTGTATCCTTTCCTTACACCTTATACAAAATTAATTCAAGATGGATTAAAGACTTACATCTTAGACCTAAAACCATAAAAACCCTAGAAGAAAACCTAGGCAATACCATTCAGGACATAGGCATGGGCAAGGACTTCATGACTAAAACACCAAAAGCAATGGCAACAGAAGCCAAAACTGACAAATGGGATCTAATTAAACTAAAGAGTTTCTGCACAGCAAAAGAAACTACCATCAGAGTGAACAAGCAACCTACAGAATGGGAGAAAATTTTTACAATCTACTCATCTGACAAAGGGCTAATATCCAGAATCTACAAAGAACTTAAACAAATTTATAAGAAAAAAATCAAACAACCCCATCAAAAAGTGGGTAAAGGATATGAACAGACACTTCTCAAAAGAAGACATTTATGCAGCCAACAGACACATGAAAAAATGCTCATCATCACTGGCCATCAGAGAAATGCAAATCAAAACCACAATGAGATACCATCTCACACCAGTTAGAATGGCGATCATTAAAAAGTCAGGAAACAACAGGTGCTGGAGAGGATGTGGAGAAATAGGAACACTTTTACACTGTTGGTGGGACTGTAAACTAGTTCAGCCATTGTGGAAGACAGTGTGGTGATTCCTCAAGGATCTAGAACTAGAAATACCATTTGACCCAGCCATCCCATTACCGGGTATATACCCAAAGGATTATAAATCATGCTGCTAGAAAGACACATGCACACATATGTTTATTGTGGCACTATTCACAAGAGCAAAGACTTGGAACCAACCCAAATGTCCATCAATGACAGACTGGATTAAGAAAATGTGGCACATATACACTATGGAATACTATGCAGCCATAAAAAAGGATGAGTTCATGTCCTTTGTAGGGACATGGATGAAGTTGGAAACCATCATTCTGAGCAAACGAACACAGGAGCAGAAAACCAAACACCACATGTTCTCACTCATAGGTGGGAACTGAACAATGAGAACACTTGGACACGGGGTGGGGAACATCACACACCAGGGCCTGTCGTGGGGTGGGGGGAGTGGGGAGGGATAGCATTAGAAGATATACCTAATGTAAATGACGAGTTAATGGGTGCAGCACACCAACATGGCACATGTATACATATGTAACAAACCTGCATGTTGTGCACATGTACCCTAGAACTTAAAGTATAATAAAAAAATCATAGAAAAAAAGAATTCTATACACAGATACATCAAAGAGAAACTGAAGGATACTATGAACCAAGAGAAAGTCTTAAAAGCCACTGAAAGGGAAATCAAAAGAAAATGAACAAACAAAATTCATGCATGCAAACAGAAAACAGATCATTAACAACAAAAAATCAATAACTGACAGAGACTTCTCATCAGCAACAACAGGTAAGAAGACAGCAGAACTAAGGAAAACAAGTGTCAAGCATCCCATTCAAGCATGGAGGTGAAACAGAAATGGTTTTAGACAAAGTCTGAGAAAAATTTGTCACTCATAAACCCTTTCTGAAAAAGTACTAAAAGATGTATTTCTGTAAGAAGGAAAATGAATCCAGAAGGAAGAACAGGAAATCAAGTAGCAATGGTGAAAAAATTTGTTAATTATATTAATAGGGTTTAATTTGCATAGATTGTAAAAACAAAAACAAAAGAAATAATCTCCCCTATTATTAGTGTCTGGAAGTTTAGTTCCAAGATATTATCAAACCCTTGAAGATCATTATATCATTGTTGCTTCTTTCATTTTTGTCTTTTAGCTTTGTGCTGCCTGTAATGGGTACAATTTAATAACACATGCTAGTAAATAAAGAGTAGAGAGGGTACGTCAGGAAAATGCTGACAAAGGAGGACTAAAGCCCTATTAATGTCAGACAAAAGGCTTTAAGACAAAGATAACTTTCAGAAATGAAGATTATTACTTAATAATAAAAGAACAATCCAATAAAATATAATATTATGCACTTATATGTTCCCAATAACATAGCCTCAAAATATTAAAAACAAAATTTACAGAATTGCAAGGAACAAGGGATAAATATCCATTCAGAGCAGGAGATTTTAAGATATTTTACTCAGAAATTGAGAGACCAAACAAAAAATTATCCGAGCAAGAAGTCATAAGCTAGATCTAAAGGACCTATATAGAAGTCTGCATTCAGCAATGGAAAGCATGAGATAGAGTCTCACTCTGTCTCTCAGGCTGGAGTGCAGTGGTGCAATCTCAGCTCACTGCAACCTCTGCCTCCCAGGTTCAAGAGATTTTCCTGCCTCAGTCTCCCGAGTAGCTGGGATTACAGGTGCGTGCCACCATGCCAGGCTATTTTTTTTTTTTTTTTTTTTTTTTGTATTTTTAGTGGAGATGGGGTTTCACTGTGGCCAGGCTGGTCTCGAACTCCTGACCTCAAGTGACCTGCCCGCATTGGCCTTCCAAAATGCTGGGATTACAGGTGTGATCCACCATGCCTGGATGGAAAGCATGCATTCTTTTCAACCATGGGCAATCTAAGAAATGCCAACAAATTCCAAAGAATTGATATCACATAAAGTATGTTTTCTGACTACAGTTTTAAAAAACATAATAAGTAAATGCCGAAAGCAAACAAATCTCCAAAACATTCATTTGGAAAGCTACTTCCAAATATTCATGGATGAAAGAACAAACAATAATGTCATAATTAAAAGTACTAAATATTTAGACCGGAATGATAATAAAAATTATGCATGTCAAACAAAAGATTTGCCCTGTAGCTAATGTGATACTGAAAGGGAAATGGGTAGCTTTAATTGCATTGACTAAAACTGATAATTACTAAGCTAAGATTCACCTCCGAAAGTTAAAAAAAAATGAACCATAAAGTAAACCCTTTAAAATAAGGAAGAAAATTATAACATGAGAAATTTCTTTAAAAAAATACCAAGCAGATATGCCTACTGTTAACATTTGTTAAATCTGAATTGGGCTACATGGGTGTGTGACGTCTGTAGTTTTCTGTATGCTTGAAACATTTCATAATTAAAATATTTGTAAAGTTAAAGCACTAAATAGTTGTAAGATTTGATGGTGATGATTACTTTCAGTATCTCAAAGTAGTTTTCAATGCTTGGTCAAGTAGGAGAATTAGGATCACAAAGAGGATGGCAGGTGCCCCTGTTAGATGGGCGCCTGAGGTCCCTATCACTCTCCAAGGGACAGGCTGGGCGCCCTCACCCACAGCATCGAAGGCAGGCAGCAGGCTAACATCCGTCCAGCTCTTCAGGGCTGTGGACACCAGCTGGAACTGCAGAGCCTCAGGCACATTCTGCTCAGGAAACTGAAGGCTCAGGCTGGGCACCTGGTCCTGCCACCAGGATTCTAGCTGCGCTCGCATCTCATCAAGGATCTCTGCGCGGCGGGGCCCCTGGTCCTTGTAGTCCGTGAAGCAGTTGAGGAAGATGATGAGTTCAACATCACAGCCATCCCTTAGGTCTGTGCCCCGGCCAAATGAGCCCCCCTGTGGAGGGAAGAACAGCTCAGATCAGGGACCCTCTAGGAGCCTGGGAGTCGGACTACGATCCCATCACCTGCGCCCCATCTACAGCCTGGAACCTGCCCTCTTGCTGATGTCAGGTCTGGGGACTATGACAAAGGTCGACTGCATGGGTCCTGTGACCTCTTAGAATTGTGACAGAGAGTCAAGTTGTATCTGCCTGCACCTGCCCTCTGATCCATGAAGACTGAGCTAAGTCAGACCAAACTGCAGCAACAGATAATGGAGGTGGGATTAAGTAGGGGCAGCGACCAAACATTTTAGCCTACTATCTGCAGCATCTACTGACTGCACATCTGGGCCAGCAGTTGCAAATTGAGGTCCCAAGCCCTAATAGGGCCTGCAATTGTCCTCTGTTGCCCTGTTTCCATCAATTCCCTCCCTCCCTCCCTCCTTCACACGGGATATCACACATATCCGATACATGTAAGTGCTCACTAAATGTTTGTTGCAGGAAAGAAAGAAGAAGAGAGGATACAAAATTTCTGTTCTTCTGGAACTTACATGCTGGCTGGGGGAGGGAAGGAAGGGACCATCAATAAACAATAGGTCCTGAGAAAATGCTAAGTGCTGTGCAGAACAGAAAGGGGGCTGGTAGTGCAAGACTGCAATTTTATTTTTATTTATTTTTATTTTTGAGACGGAGTTTCACTCTTGTCGCCCAGGCTGGAGTGCAGTGGCATGGTCTCAGCTCACTGCAACCTCCGCCTCCCGGGTTCAAGCGATTTTCCTGCCTCAGCCTCCTGCATAGCTGGGATTACAGGGGCCCGTCACCATGCCCAGCTAATTTTTGTATTTTCAGTAGAGACAGGGTTTCACCATGTTGGCCAGGGTGGTCTTGAACTCCTGACCTCAGGTGATCTGCCCACCTTGGCCTCCCAAAGTTCCAGGATTACAGGCGTGAGCCACCGTGCCCGGGCAAGACTGCAATTTTAAATCGTGTGGTCAGGCCTCAGTGGACGAGGACATCAGATCAAGAAACTTGAAGAGGAGAGACAGAGAGAGCGAGAGAGAGAGAGCCAAATGGTTGGGGAAGAGAATTCTCATTTTCTTCTAGGAAGAGAAAACAGCCACTACAGAGGCCTTGAATTGTTCTGTGGACCTGGTAAGCTCAGAGCAGCCAGGAGGCCAGTGTGGAGTAAGTCAAGGCCAGAGGGAGACCAGGGCCCATCCTGTAGGACTTGAGGCCTCTGCGCCCTGTGAAACCATGGAGAATTTTGAGCTGAGGAGGGAAGTGATCTGATTCTTGTAATAGTGTTTTAAAAACTGTATCATTAAAAAAAAGAAAATCTAAGCTGGCACTTAAATATATTTTATTTAAGCCAGCAAATCATCCTTCCTGGGCCGTCCAGTTCCCCAGCCCAACCTCAGCTCCATTGCTGTAACTCCTTCCCTTCCCCACGCTGATCCCTCGATAGGGTCCCCCCTGTGTCTCCACTGGCCCAACTCACTTTACTGACTCTTGAGGCCTTGTGAACACAGTTCTCATGGAGGCAGCGCAAGATGATGTCAATGGCCTTTTTCACCTGCTCCTGGAACTGGGGGCTCGGCTTCAGGTGGTCCTGGATGAAGCGGTCCAGCTCCTTGGTGGGGATCTGAGACAGGTCCAAGGCCATTCCCGGCACAGAGGGGACGATGCTGGCTGCCCCAGTGGGGCCAGGAGCTGGGCATGAGGGAGGTTTGCTCCCTGCTCTTGGGTACACAGCATTGAGGCTCTTGCTGTTTTCAGGGGTCTTCTGGTTAGGGTCTAGCTGGATGGGGTGGCCCAAACCTGAGCATCCAGCACGTGGAAGGCCCTGGAAGGTCATTGAAGGAGCTGCCTCAGCCAGGCGCAGTGGTTTCTGCATCAACCCAATGCCTTCTCTCCCCAGCTCCCGCCCTTTGTACAGTCAGGGTGACTGAGGCTCAGAGAGGGGAAGTGGGAGGGCCATGGCTAACGCACATGGCCATCTTTGGGCAGAGTTGAAAAAGGTGCCTTTCTGGAGGGATAAACTGCAAAATGGGTGCCCTTGTGATGGGCAGAAAGGTCTGGTAACCAGACCATAGCTGCAGAAAAACAAAGGACTCCTTCCCCCGGGCAGTTTCAGCTTGAGCTTGGTGATAAGACTGTTTTACATGCCTGATGCCCTGTGCATTTTTTTTTTTTTTTTTTTTGGGACGGAGTCTTACTCTGTCACCCAGGCTGGAGTGCAATGGAGTGATCTCAGCTCATTGCAACCTCCGCCTCCCTAGTTCAAGCAATTCTCCTGCCTCAGCCTCTCGAGTAGCTGAGATTACACGCACCCACCACCATGCCTGGCTAATTTTCGTATTTTTAGTAGAGACAAGGTTTCACCATATTGTCCAGACTGGTCTCGAACTCCTGACCTCTGACCTCAGGTAATCTGCCCACCTCGGCCTCCCAATGTGTTGAGATTACAGGCGTGAGCCACCACACCTGGCCACCCCTGCTTTTTAAAGCCTGTTCCACACCATATGGCACATAGTAGATGCTCAGGAAACACTGGACACATAAACAAAGTGCAAAACCCAAGGGTCCTGGGGCCCCCTCACTTACCGGCCCCTTCCAAGACTGCACTGGGTCCCCCATCCCCCTCAGAAAGCATGGGTGGTCATAGCAGGATGCTGCCTCCTGGGCTAGCAAATCCCAGTGCCAGGCTGCCCCATTCCCCAGGTCCCATGTGGGGTCAGCTGGGTCCAGGATCACAGGCCTGCAATTTCAGAGAGACAAGAAGGTTCTGGTTAGCAAGAGGGCTCTGGAGTGAAACGGACCTGGTTCCAATCGCATCTCTGCTACTTTCCAGCTGTGTGACCTGGGGCAAATGATTTACCCTCTCTGAGCCTCGATTTCCTTATCCGCAAAATGAGGAAAACAACATTGCCTGCTTATCATTGTCAACCCTGGCTGCACGTTGGAATCACAAGATACCAGGATCCACTCTCAAGGGCTCTTGAGTTACACCCTACAATTCAGCAATTTCATTCCTAGGTATATTTCCAACAGATATGCATATGCACCAAAAAAACATGTCCAAGAATGTTTATGATGGCCCTATTTGTAATAGTTCCAAGTTGAAAGAACTCAAATGTCCATCATCAGTAGAATAGACAACATATTTTGATAAATTCACACAATGGAATACTATACAGCAACAAAAAAGAATGATCCACAACTATATAGCTAAATCTCAAAGACTTAATCTTGAGAACAGAACGAGAAGCCAGACACAAAAGTACATGTGGCATGATTCCATTTAAATAAGATTTAAGAAAAGGCACAACTGTAATTATAAAAGTGTAAGTGGGGTTATTTTGGAAGGTTACTGACTGAGAGGGGACCAGTGGGGTGCTGGAAATATTCTACCATGATCTGGGTGGTGGTTTCAAAGTATGCGGTCTTCACACAGTCATCAGAACATGCACTTTCTGCTATACATCAGCAAAACATTCACGCATAAAACTTGTGGGGCCAGGCACTGGTATATTTTTTAAAACTCCCCCAGGTAATTCTAATGTGCATCTGGGCTGAGTCCAGTGAATTAAAACATGTACATGTAGCATTTTGCTTTGGCCTCTATACCCAAGCACTCAGTAGATGTAACCGGTTTTGTCCTTGTCAATTATCTCCCCCTGGCCCCGGGACAGGAGAGCAGATGGTGGGCTATTAGGAAGTACCTGGGTCTCTTAAGCTGCCGCTGCAAGAACTGCCCAACTGCAGGGTCCTCGAAGCCATAGTTGACAGTCCAGAAAACACACAGGTGCTGATGCTGTTGGATCAGGCCCAGGACAGTTCGGAGGCCTTCGGCTAGGCTGAAAGCATCCTTCTTACAGCCCTGCTCCCAGGCGAAGATGGTCAGCAATTCCAGGGCATAGACCGGGGGCAGCGTCTCCTTCCACAACCCCTGTAGGCACACCTGTGAGAGGGCATCGGCAGGGGACTCAGAAGGAAGAAGGGGAGGAAAGAGAGCCAGCTCTCTGCATAACCAGACTGGGGACCTTCCAGGCCGAGCCTGAGGCAAGATGCTGTGTTCCAAGCCTGTTCCAAGAACAAGTGGCATTTCTCACCAGCCCTCACTGGTAGCTTCAGCCAAGTGGTTGGCTCATATGATGGGGGAGTGGTGGGAGGGAGGGGTGTAAGTTTCAAGTCCCAAGGAGGCAGGGAGCAGTCAGAGAGAAGCCAAGGGTAGTCTGAAATTGCTATCTATCCTCAAATAAAGGTGAAGCAGATCTGGGGTCCCAGTTGCGTGGCTGATTGGAGAAGGACACCAAGTTGTCGCCCTTTCACCCCTGGAGTGGGGTGGGGCAGCGGGCCAGAACTCTGTCCTTCCCTCCTCACTCCAGCCGTCTATCCCCCATCCCAAAATGCATGATTTCTATTTGTGCACCATATACTTGGGATCTCCACGTACCAGGGAGGGATTACTCCATGCCAAGGCAAGAATCCCAGGCCTCTGGGTAACTCCAGAGGGGATGCTTCAGCATGCCAGAAAGTGACCCCCCTGGCTAGAAGCACCCAGCATCTCCACACTCCCTCCGCTCACCCCCTCTCTCTGGGGTGACAAACATGCGTGGGTGCACATGTGTACCCACCACCCAGATCAAGATAGAATTTCTAACGCCCAACCAGGCTGGCTCCATAGTTGTATTAATTAATTAATTAATTTATAGACAGAGTCTTACTCTGTTGCCCAGGCTGAAGTGCAGTGGCTCAATCTTAGGTCACTGCAGCCTTGAACTCCTGGGCTCAAGTGATCTTCACGCCTCAGCCTCCTGCGTGGAGAGGACCACAGGCGTGAGCCACCATACCCAGCAGTTTGCCCTTTTAGGAAGTACCAGGCTATTAGCATTTTCTGCCCCTGGAGAATCTTACATGGAAAGAACCTGAGTAAGATTTGCCGATGCATATATTTCTTTATGTGCAAGTGGAGGAAACAGAGGCCCAGAGAAGGCTAGGAACTTGTCCAGGGTCACACAGCAAGAAGATGGCTGAGCCAGAACTGGAATCCAGAATCTCTTCCTTGAGAGACCTGCTTATGATGACTGGTCCATGTGCTGCAAGATTTTGGGGGAGCCTGTTCCCCCATCTCCAGGCATAGGCTGGGCACACTTTCCCCAGTGCATAAGAGTCTGGCAACAAACATGAACAGAGCAAGGGAGCATCCCTGAGGCTAGGGAGGGAAGTGTACCAACTCCGCATATACCTCATACCATACCAGACAGGCCAAAGCCCTGAATATGAACAGAAATACAATAGGAAACAATATGATGGCAGGAAATATGAAAGAGTCATTTTACAAAGTCAGGACAGGGAAAGACCTCTTTTTTTTTTTTTTTTTTTTTTCCTTGAGATGGAGTCTGGCTCTGTCACCCAGGCTGGAGTGCAGTGGTGCAATCTTGGCTTACTGCAACCTCTGCCTCCTGGGTTCAAGAGATTCTCCTGCCTCAGCCTCCCGAGTAACTGGAATTACAGGTGTGTACCACCACGCCCGGCTACATTTTGTATTTTTAGTAGAGACAGGGTTTCACCATGTTGGCCAGGCTGGTCTTGAACTCCTGACCTCAAGTGATCCACCTGCCTCGGCCACTCAAAGTGCTGGGATTCCAGCCATGAGCCACTGCACCTGGCAGGATAGGGAAAGACTTCTTAAGACACACAAAGAATAACTCATTTTTCAAAGGATATATCTGAGTACATTAAACTGTAGATATTTTGTCCTACAAATAACCTTTAAACAAAGCAAAAGCCCAAGACACAGACTGGAAGACTATTGGAAGAATGCATTATATTAACTAAATAAGGATCAGTATCCACAATATATAAAGAGCTTCAACAAATCAGTAACAAGACAGCTAACCCAAGAGAAAATAATGCACAAGGGACATAAACAGACAATTCCCAGAGAGAGAACATGAATGGCCACTAAATGTAAGACAACAGTTTCACGACTATGAAAGCACAAAGCAAACAGTCACATGTCTGGAGAAACCCTTCCAAGTGGCTTCACCTGGTGGTACCAGTGCTTCACCAGCAAGATTAGGTTCTTCAACTTGGCTGGGCGAATGTTCACAAAGTTCCTCCGCAGCTCTGTGAAGCAGGCCGCATGCTCGCCCCCTTGGCAGCCACTGTTGAGGAGGGTAGAGTAGACTTGTGGCTTGGGTTTGACGCCGGAGCCGGCCTGACCTGTTGGTGTGAAGCGCTGTGAGTTAGGGAGGGCACTGAGGACACAGGATGGAGGGCGGTGTTGGTGCCGAGCTCAGCCTGGGGCGCTGAGAGAGAGTGGGAAGAATTCAGAGGGGAAGAAATCTGGTAACATGGGAGTCGGGGGACTGGGAAGAGAGCCTGGAGCTTTTCAGGAGGCAGGGAAGAAGAGCGGCACTCCAGAATGCAGTGGGAGAGTCCCTCCATCCCAAATGGCCAGGCAGTCCCTAGAGCAACAGCTCAAAGAGGAGCAGCTGCATTCCAAGATGGTTAAACAGGAAAGTTGCTTCCAGCTGAGTCAGCAGTGCCTGCAGCCTGGCAACTCTCTCCTCCCTGAGCCTTCCTCAAAACACCACTCTACATATCCTTAATTAAGAGGTGTCACGGAGAGGAAAACGATGCCCAAGAAATAAAAGGCAAAAAGCCCTGATCCTTTAGCAGTGGTTGTTGATATTTTTTACTACAGGCCTGGCGCTGTGGCTCACACCTGTAATCCCAGCACTTTGGGAGGCCAAGGTGGGAGGTTCACCTGAGGTCAGGAGTTCGAGACCAGCCTGGCCAACAAAATATACAAAAATTAGCCAGTCATGTTGGCACTCGCCTGTAATCCCAGCTACTCCAGAGGCCGAAGCACGAGAATTGCTTGAACTCAGGAGGCAGAGGTTGCAGTGAGCTGAGATCGTACCACTGCACTCCAGCCTGGGGGACAGAGCGAAACTCTGTCTTAGAAAAAAATATATATTTTTTTTACTGCATACTGGGCACTGGACAGAAGGTCTTTACATGTATCCCCACCACAACCCTATGAGGCAAGTACAGTTCTTCATCCCACTTGATAGCTGAGGAAGCTGAGGCACAGAGAAATTCCATGATTTGCCCAAGGTTACACAGCCAGCATGCGATGGAGGCAGGATTTGAGCTCAGAGCCAGTGGACTTTGCAGGGTGCGCCTTTTCCGCCACCACTCCCATGGGCATGGCTTGGGAGAAGTAAACACTTTCCATAATTCCCTGAGGTTGCTGCTACCGCTTGCCTGCTGTGTGGCTTTGGGTGGGTCACTGTATGTCTCTGAGCCTCAGTTTCCCCAATGGTAAAATTGAAGCTGAAACAGTACAGACCTCATAAGTTTGTTGTGAAGAATTGATGAGATAAAACATGTCAAGTTCTTGGAATAGTTAAGCATTTAATAAGTAGTAACTATTATGATTAATATATGTGTACCCAGGCTGGGTGGGGTGGCTTGTGCCTGTAATCCTAGCACTTTGGGAGGCTGAGGCAGGTGGATCATTTGATCTCAGAAGTTCAAGACCAGCCTAGACAACATGGTGAAACCCTATCTCTATAAAAAATACAAAAATTAGCCAGGCATGGTGGTGCATGCCTGTAGCCCAGCTACTCGGGAGGCTGAGGTGGGAGGATTGCTTGAACCCAGGACGGAGGTTGCAGTGAGCCAAGATCATGCCACCACACTCCAACCTGGGTGACAGAGTGAGACCCTGTCTTAAAAATGTGTGTGCGTGTGTGTGTGTGTACCCAGTATGTGGGTACACTAGGCTTAGGGTACCAGGCATAGGGGATGTGGCTATCTGCCCAAAGGATAAAGCTATCCCCCAGATCATCAAGGTAAATAATAATAATAATAATAATAACAATAATAATAGAAACAACAACAATAATAGAAATAATAATAATAGTAAACACTCTTACAACCCTTATCACATGCTAGACATTCTTATTTCTTTTTTTTTTTTAAGAAGAGTCTTACTCAGACAGATTGTAGTGGCAAAATCACAATTCACTGCAGCCTCCACTGCCTGGGCTCAAACAATCCTCCCACCTCAGCCTCTCCAGTAGCTGGGATCAGAGGGAGGCATGTACTACTACACCTGGCTATTTTTTAAAATTATTATTATTTGTAGAGACTAGATCTTGCTATTTTGCCAAGGCTGATCTTGAACTCCTGGGCTCAAGCAGTCTCTAACTTGGCCTCCCGAAGCTGGGATTACAGGCATGAGCCACTGCGCCTGGCCCACTAGACACACTTCTAAGCTTGATTACATATATTAATGCATTTAATTCTTCTGACAACTCTATAAGATTACTATTATCCCCATTAGTATTATCCTCATTTTACAGATGAGGACACAGAGGCCTATTTTTATCTTAACTCAAGCATACGTGTATTACGAAGGAGAACACAAAAATCACATTGATGTTTTCAACATAAAATACAAGATTTTGCAGAATTCTGGTTTCGTCCCCAGGCCCCTACTGCTAGCCACATGTCCACTTGGCTTAGCTTTCGGGAGTATTTGTGGAAGGGCTGAGCAGTAACCGCTCCAGGCAGTGGCTGAGGGAAACTCCCAGATGCCTGTGGGAGGGCCAAGCATCTTGACAGCAGGACCACAGATCCAGGAGGAACTGGGGTTTCTCTGCCTTTGTCTGGCACAAGTCCAATATGTTTAGTCCCCAGACTGAGGCTGAGAGAGGGGTAGAGGCTGGCCCAGGTCAAACAGCAAGTTGGTGGCTGGGCTAGAATTGGAAGTCCTGTGTTGTTCCCAATGATCTTTTGCCCCCAACCCTGGAATGGTCTAGGAACCCCTCACCCAGGACATTGAAGGCAGGCACCAGGCTAACATCCATCCAGTCCTCAAGATCTACGGATGTCAGGCGGAACTGCAGGGCCCCAGGCACGCTCTGCTCAGGAAACGTGAGTCTCAGACCAGGGACTGGGTTCTGCCACCAGGATTCCAGCGATGCCCGCATCTCACTGAGGATCTCTGCACGGCGGGCCCTCTGGTCCACATAGCTCTTGAAGCAGTCGAGGAAGATGACAAGTTCAGAATCACAGCCACCCTTGAGAGCTGTGCCCCGGCCCGAGGAGCCTCCCTGGGCAAAGAAAAATAACTCAGAATTTCATACTGTCCAATTCTAGTGGCCTTGCAACCTGGCAGGCAACTTGAGTGAGGCAAGTGTGCTGGGGAGAGACTGTGGCCACATGGCTGTAGGCATTGAAGCCACGCGGGAATGTGGGCCCAGGGTAGCCAGGCTCGAGATTTCAAGAGAAGCAATTTTAACATGTAAACTCATGATTTTTTTTCCATAGAAACAGGGTCTTGTTCTGTCACCCAGGCTGGAACACATAGCTCACTGCGGCCTTGAACTCCTGGGCTCGAGTGATCCTCCTGCCTCAGCCTCTCAAGTAGTTGAGACTACAGGCACACGCTACCATGCCTGGCTAGTTTTTACATTTTTTTAAAGAGATGGGGTCTTGCTATGTTGCCCAGGCTGGAGTGCAGTGGCTATTCACAGACACGATTGTAGCTCACTGCAGCTTGGAATTCCTGGGCTCGAGTGATCTTCTTGCCTCAGCCTCCCAAGTGTCTGAGACTATAGGCATGCACCACCGTGCTGGGCTAAATCCATACTTGTAATTTTATTTTTATTTTTAGTTTTGAGACAGAGACTTACTCTGTTGCCTAGGCTGGAGTGCAGTGGCACCATCTCAGCTCACTGCAACCTCCATCTCATGAGTTCAAGTGATTTTCCCACCTGAGCCTCCTGAGTAGCTGGGACTACAGGTGTGCGCCACCATGCCTGGCTAATTTTTGTATTTTTAGTAGAGATGGGGTTTCACCATGTTGGCCAGACTGGTCTCGAATTCCTGACCTCAAGTGATCTGCCCTCGTTGGCCTCCCAAAGTGCTGGGATTACAGGCATGAACCACCATGCCAGGCCTATATCCATGATTTTTAAATGTTGGCAACTAACTTTTTAAAAACTCAAGACCGCAGGTAAAACAAATTCTGCTTTGCAGAACACACATTTGCAATCTTTGCTCAGAATGGGTACAGAACTGTGGTATGACTCAATTTCTGAGACCTGTGTGATTAGTGTTTCTTTCGGCAAAGCTTCCAACCTGAGGATTTGGAAAAGAAACTCCTAAACATTGTCAGAGCCACTGTTCTGTGTCTGGGATCTGACGTCTCTAATCTCACTTCCAACACAAAACAACTGTGATGTAGTTACATGTGGCTGCAGATATGGGGAGTGAGGCTCAGATGGTGAAATGAGTTACACAGCCAGTAAACAGCAAGAACCAGGATGGAGCCCTCCAGGAGCAAGGCTTGCCTCAAACTGGGACCCCCTACTTATCCCGATGATTATGCCAGTCCTTTTACTACCAGCTCCCACCATCTGGGGGCTGCTGACAAAGTGGGAACAGGGAATATTACAGGCTGGGCACTTCCTGCACGTTTTGCACACTCTCATCTCATTGAACCTTCCTCACAGCCCCAGAAGGAAGGTACCACTTTACAAAAGAGGAAACGAAAGCACAGGGAGATTGCACCGTGCTCACTTTACAAAGGAGACAATGAAAGCACAGGGAGATTGTGCTCCAGAACCCCCTCCCACCCCTTTCCAGGGAAGCTAAGGATGCCAGGGCTTTCCCTTGCTGCACAGAAATCCCTCCTGTCCATCTCCAAGGTAGAAACGGGACTTCACACCTCCTAGGCGACAAGTGTCTCCTCCTTCCCCACCTCCCAAGCTGAGAGTCAGCCCCAGGAAACCACTAGGTGCTCTGAGGCCATTTCTACTCTGCGTTTTCACTCCCTCTCCTGACAACCTCCTCTAGCACACCCAGGTTCCCTCCATCAATCCACTCCTGGCACCCCCAAATCTACCCTGAGGATAAGGTAGCTCATGACTTGTCTCCTCCCTGAATCTGCGAGTGTCCTGGGATCACAGTGGCAGTGTGGCTGTATTTAAGTGACAAAAAGTGACCCGGAGCCTGGGCAACATGGTGAAATCCCGTCTCTACAAAAAATGCAAAAATTACCTGGGCATGGTGGCTCACACCTGTAATCCCAGCACTTTGAAAGGCCAAGGCAAGTGGATCACTTGAGCCCAGGAGTTCCAGGCCAGCCTGGGCAACACGGCAAAACTCTATCTCTACAAAAAATGCAAATAATTAGCCAGGCATGGTAGTGTGCACCTGTAGTGCCAGCTACTTGGGAGGCTGAGGTGTGAGAATAACTTGAGCCCAGGAGGCGGAGGTTGCTGTGAGCCAAGATCATGCTACTGCACTCCAGCCTGGGTGACAGAGCGAGACCCTGTCTCAAAAAAAAAAAAAAAAAAAAAAAAAAAAAAAGATGTGACTCAGAGTAGTAATTTAGCGTCTAGCCTCAGTTTCCCTATCCATAAAACAGGTACAATAATACCTGCCTCACTGAACGTGGGGATGAAATGAGGTAATACTCATTTAATGAGATAATTTTCATTGTTATTTGATAATGTCTCAATAAATTGGGCTACTCTGGCTGTTACGCGGAGTGTTATTACTTCTGTAACCTTAAGGTCTGGCATAGTGTGAGGCCCACAGTCTGTTTGAATGACTGGGAGAATGAGTGAATGAGTGAATGAATGGATAAGAAGCAGCCTCTGAGAGTAGAGATGCAGGAATCAGGCTACTTGGATTTGAATCCTGGCTGGGCCTCTTACAGGATCGGACACGTCACTGTACCTCTCTGTGCCTCATTTTCTCTATCTGTCAAGCGGGCTTAAGAGTACCTACCTGGCTCGTATGTTCGGGGGAGTTAGCACGGGGCTGGCACATTGGAAGTATTTGTTAAAGAAATGAATGAGGTGCACAAGCGGATAAAGCCACCCCCACCGTAAGCCTATGTGAGGCTTAAGCGTCCTCCCAGGACTCCCCTTTGGACACATAAAGACCCCGAGGTGGGACCTCACCTTGACAGTTTTCAGCACCCGCGGGGCAGCAGCACCGAGGCGGCCCCCGCGCTCCCTCAGGGCAGCGGCCAGGGCGCCCAGAGCGCGCCGCGCCTTCTCTACGAACTCCTTCCGCGGCTGCAGCCTTCTGGCCACGAACCTGTCCAGCGCAGCGGCCGGGGTGCTGTACAAGTCCATGGCCGCCCGGCGCAGGTGCAAGGGGAAGCAGGGCTCTGGCGCGGCCTTCGGATTTCTGGTTTCGTTTTCCCGCCCGGCTCTCCGAACCACGCCCAGCTGGCCAGGTCCTAGGTCCTCGGTCCCGCGCGTGGCGTGAAACGGGGAGGGGCGCTGCAGTTCCTGTCTTCCCCAAACTTGGGAAATTCCCTGCTTTCAGTTTCGTTTCTTTCTAGCAGCTCTTGGACCTGACACCCACTTCCTGGTCCCCTTCCCAGCTACGACTTCCTCTCCTTCATCTCCTTGCTTCCAGCCGTCCCTGCAACCACCAGCTCCAACGAACTAATCACAACCTAACAAAGTATACCCACAGAACATATGGGTACATACTGAGTAACGTACTCTGAGCATTTCAGAAACGTGCAGGTTTTACATGGAAAAAAAAGGTCAGGATTTAATAAACGGAGAAGTCCTACCTCGCTGTCTGACTGAGGGATGCGTTCTAAACACCACTACCACCACCAACGATAATAAAGCACACTTGGAGACTCTCACTGACTCCTCCCAACGACCATGGTGTAGGTGCTATTATCATCACCCATTTGACAGATGAGGAAGTCAAGGTACAGAGGAACTAGGTAACTGTCCAAGGTAACACAGCTGGAAAGTTGTCTGGCTGGATTCAAACCCAGCCCAAGCCCACAGAGCTGCCCTCTTCAGAAGCCAACTCTTCCTAAATAATTTATACGTGTAATGCAGTTCCAATAAAAATTCCATCTTTAAAAACTTCAAACACACGATCTAAAGTCTGTCTGCAAGAATTAAAAATTATTTTGGAGGAGAAGGAGGAAGGAAAGTCAGTCAGTTTAGGATGGTACCTTGCACAACAATACTACATATTAAAACATTGTAAAGCTACAATAGGGAAATCCTCTTGGAATGGGCACAAAGCTAAGCGGACTGTAAGCTATAAGCTGCAGAGTGGAGATTTGAATCCAGGACCATTGCGCTTCTATCTTCATGGCCTGTCTCCTTTTTCTGCTTATTTCCTGCTGCTTCTCCACCCGGGTTCCTAGAGACTGCACACCTGAGCTCTCTTCCAGGCCTGGTCCAAGCCATAGCCTATCTCCTCCTCCCCATCTTACTAAAAAACTCCCAGGTCCTCTCTCCTGTCTGCTCCGGGACCCAGCATTTACTCTGCCTCTGAGTACACTTCAGGTAATAGTCTTAACAAGTGCTTCCTGACATCTGCACGGTAACTGAAAGGAAATAGATAGGATCAGAGTGTGAATTTCAGAGGTCATGGTCAACTAGAGGGAGAGATGCTGGGTCTGTAATATGTACACCAGCTAATATTTTGAGTAGTGAATGCTGCATCACTTGGAATATTCAAGTATGGGCAGGTTTTGTAGGTCAGGTGTTGTGGTGGGGATTTAAGTCAAGGGATTGAGCAATGATTTTCATTCTCGCCCATTAATCACAGTCTTCTTCCTGAGTCACAGGCCACTTTAGAAACTTTCCATTCAAGATAGTGGATTGAACACATGCTCAAAATTCTATTAAAATAGCAGCAAAGATATATTAAAAGCATAATGGAAATCAACAGGGTTGGAAACTGAGAAAAAGTGGAGTCAAGGGGGCGGGACATTTGAGGCATTTTTAGAAGATGGAACGCAGAAGGGTCAATATTGGGTCATGATGGTGGACTGAACATATGCATAAGCCTTCAACGTCCATCCCAGGCCTCTAGAGGTGGCAGGAAAGCGATAGAAAAACTTTAATAATGTTGCTGGGTCCTAACCAGAGGTGTCCCAGGTAAACTGGAATCTGAGATCCCTGTCAGAGATATGAGACTGGATGAAGGAGGAAATTGCAGCCAAAACACATAAAGGAGGGGGTACCTATGCAGAGTGGAAAGGCTCTGAGGAGCTGCAGGCTCCAGGCAGTGGATTGAAGGAAAAGAAGGGACCCTAGGTTAACTCTCATGGTTGTCAGTTGTGCTGGCATAGTAATGGCAGCCTCTAAAGACATGTGGTCTCCCGCCCCAACCTTTCTGTGTTGAGTAACAGGCAGCAGAGGTGCCTGCCTAAGGAGGGAGCAGTGAGGGTGGGGCAGAGAGGCAGGGAAGTACACAGCATACCTGGCCACATCTGGAAAGAACAGGAAGTCCTGTATGCAGAAGACTCATTCCTGGCACATCCCCTTTCCTCATCTCTGCCTCCAGCTGCAGTAAGAAGGTACCAACTTCACAGGGAGACAAGCAGAACATCCCCAGTGAGCAAAAAGCACACATCCAAAGGTGCCAAATTATTTTGGGAGATCCAATGCTATGAACATAAAAACTCACATGTAAGGACACTGAAATAATCAATAAAGGAGAAAGAGTCTTCTGTGGTCTAAATTTGTCCCCCAGAATTCATGTGTTGGAAACTTACTCCCCAATGCAGCAGTTGGGAAGTGGGGTCTAACAGGAGGTGTTTGTGTCATGAGGGCTCTGCCCACGTGAGTGGATTATGGCCACTGTGAAAAGAGCTTGGAGGAATGGGCTCATTGTCTTCTGCTTTTCTGCCATGTGAGGACATAGTGTTCCTCCCCTCCAAAAGACACAACATTCTTCAAGGCGCCATCTTGGAAGCATAGAGACCAGGTCCTAACCTGCTGAAGCCTTGGTCTTGCACTTCTCAGCCTCCAGAACTGTGATAAGTAAATTTCTGTTCTTTACTAATTTCCCAGTCTGTGGCTTTCTGTTTTAGAAGTACAAATTGGACTAATACGGTCTTAGAAATATATAATTAATATCCTCAGAGGGATTAGATATTATATCCATTATAATTATTCATTGTATTCATGATTATTCATCATATCCATGAAATAAGAACAGTGATGAAAGTCAACAATCACCACTATCACATTGGAAGTGAAAACATAATGCAAAATAAAACCAAAGATGAACAGAAAAACCGAACCTTCTCCATAGATAGGCTGAATAAATATACCTGAAGATAAAATCAGTAAACTGGAAGATGGAATGGAGGAAATTACTCGAGATTACAGGAAAGCAGAACATAGAAAAGAAAGGTATAAAAGACAACTTATGAGATGTGGAAAACAGATCCTTTCCTTATTCTTATAAATATTTATTAAGGCCAGGTGCGGTGGCTCACGCCTGTAATCCCAGCACTTTGGGAGGCCAAAGCAGGTGGATGACCTGAGGTCAGGAGTTCGAGACTGGCCTGGCCAACATGGTGAAACCCCGTCTCTACTAAACATACAAAAATTAGCTGAGTATGGTGGCAGGCACCTGTAATCCCAGGTACTCAGGAGTCTGAGTCAGGAGAATCACTTGAACCCAGGAGGCAATGGTTGCAGTGAGCCAAGATCACACCATTGCACTCTAGGCTGGATGACAAGAGTGAAACTCTGGCTCAAAAATAAAATAAATAAATAAATAAATAAATATTTATTCAGTGTTTTCTTTATGGTAGCCACTGGTCTAGCACAGAACATGTGTGGTGAATAAGTGAAAAGGCCTCTGCTCTCATGGAATTTATATTCTAACGAGAGAAGATGGACAAAAAATTAATAAGCAAATAGAAAATGTTGGATTCATGGCTAGATAAAATCTTAAGCACAGGGGTTTTCTTGGGGTGCTTGGAATTAGAAGGCATATCTGGACAGGTCACCCACAGTTGTGGGTGTAACAAAATGACTCAGAATGTCTGTTACACATTCTGTTACTTACTACGGTCAAATATATTCTTGGTTGATACAGTAGCAAATCATCTGCTGTTCTCCTTGGAAAACTATTGCTTATTGCCTATATATAAAAGGTGACAGTATCCTCCTACAGATACTCTCTCTCTTTTTGCCTGTCTGCTTAGTCAACTCACTCACCACCTTGTACTGGCCCGGGAAGAAATTGCTGCTGGTTTCTTTTTGAAAAAGAATATTCTTTCTTTCTTTTTCTCTTTTTCTCTCTTTTTCTTTCTTTTCTTTTCTTTTCTTTTCTTTCTCTCTTTCTTTCTTTCTTTCTTTCTTTCTTTCTTTCTTTCTTTCTTTCCTCTCTTTCTCTCTCTCTCTTCCTTCCTTCCTTCCTTTTTTTTTTTTTTTTTTTTTTTTTTTTTGAGACAGCCCAGGCTGGAGTGCAGCAGTGTGGTCTCGGCTCACTGCAACTTCTGCCTCCCAGGTTTAAGCAATTCTCCTGCCTCAGCCTCCCGAGTAGCTGGGATTACAGGTGTGTGCCACCATGTCTGGCTAATTTTTGTATTTTTAGTAGAGACGGGGTTTCACTATGTTGGCCAGGGTGGTCTCGAACTCCTGACCTCAGGTGATCCAACGGCCTTGGCTTCCCGAAGTGCTGGGATTACAGGTGTGAGCCACCATGCCTGGCAGAAAAAGAATCTTCTGATGCATCAAAAGAATAAGATGGATTCATGGATGGATAGAAGGATGAAGAAATTGTAGATATGCAATCAAGCAAGTGCAATAAAACGTTAATTGTAAAATCTATGTGGTGAGTATATGAGTGTTCACTGCAAAATTCTTTCAATGTGGCTGTTTGCTTGGAAATTTTTCTTAATGAAATGTTGGAAGAAACTGGCAAACTATGGCCCATGGGCCACATCTGGTCCAGCCTCTGCTTGTTTTTGTGCCTTTTTTTTTTTTTTTTTTTGACAGTTTCGCTCTGTAGCCCAGGATGGAGTGCAGTGGCATTATCGTGGCTCACTGCAACCTCTGCCTCCCTAGTTCAAGCGATTCTCCTGCCTCAGCCTCCCAAGTAGCTGGGATTACAGGCGCCCACCACCACACCTGGCTAATTTTTGTATTTCTCATAGACACAGGGTTTCACCATCTTGGCCAGGCTGATCTCGAACTCCTGACCTCAAGTGATCTGCTTGCCTCAGCCTCCCAAAGTGTTGAGATTACAGGTGTGAGCCACTGCACCCAGCTGTTTTTGTACTTTTTAACATGTTTAATGGTTAAGAAAAAAAATCAACAGAAGAATATTAAAAATAAAAGAATATTTTGTGACGTGAAAATTGTGAAATTCAGTGTCCATAAATAAAGTTTAATTGAAATGCCATTACACCCATTTATTTATATGTTGTCTATGGCTGCTTGCATATGGCAACAGCAGAGATGAAGAGTCCAGCTGAGGTTGGATGATCCATAAGGCCTAAAATATTTACTATATTGCCCTTCACGGGAAAACTTGGCCAATCTAGCAACTGCTGGGCACGTAGGCAGGACTTCATGATAGCTGCAGTGATTCTCATTTCACAATTCTGTTTTGTTCTTCTACATCAACACCAAGAAACCTTACTCATGACACTTATGATTTTCAAAAAAGATTTTATTTAATCAGGTGGCAGTAGATGGGGCATTGAGAGCAGAGGTAGAGTGAGGTTCAAGGGGGGATCAGTTGACAAAGGAGGAAACAACAGTAAGACAGTGTGTTCTTCCAGGAGCTGATGCCACTTGGAGTCACAGTGCTTGAGGAATTGCACAATAGGCTGGAAATGGCAGATTTCTATGATGATTCTTGGTCACAACTAGGAATTATTTGTGTTACCTCCATTTGACAGATTATGAAACTGAGGCTCAGAGAAGCTGAGCGACTTGCCTGGGATTGTACAGCAAAGGAGGGCGTGGAATGTGTGCCTGTGGAGCTTAATTAAATGGACAAGGAAGCACAGCAGGGTGGAGATTAAGAGCACAGGCTTTGAGGGCTGGCAGTTTAGGGTTTGCATCCCAGCTCTGCCACTCACCAGTTGTGTGACTTTGGGAGCAATGATTTCAACCTGTCTGAACCTCAATTCTCTCATCTGTAGCAACGGGGAAATAATGCATTCATAGGCTTAGCAAAGTGGCTGGCATCAGATAAGCACTGAGTAAATAGCAGCAGTTTTATTACTTTTGTGTTACTGTGGGGTTTTTTTTGCTTGTTTGTTTTTGTTTTTTTGAGATGTAGTCTCACTCTGTCGCCCAGGCTGGAGTGCAGTGGTGTGAGCTCGGCTCACTGCAACCACCAGCCCCCAGGTTCAAGTGATTCGCCTGCCTCAGACTCCTGATTAGCTGGGATTACAGGGGCTGGCCATTGATGCCCGGCTAATTTTTGTATTTTTAGTAGAGATGCAGTTTCACCATGTTGGCCAGGCTGGTCTCAAACTCCTGGCCTCAAGTGATCTGCCTGCCTCGGCCTCCCAAAGTTCTGGGATTACAGGCGTGAGCCACTGTGCCCGGCCATGTCATTGTTTTTATGATAATTATTAACCACAGCATCCTTTTCAGTCATACACAGCTAACTCAAGACTGAGATCCCACTATTTGTGTAAATCTACCTTGTATTTTTTTCTTAAATTTTATTTTTTAATGAGGGACAGAGAGAGAGAGAAGGAGACAGGGAGGAAGAGAGGGAGGGAGTTCACATGTATTCATATGGGGCATTGAAAGCAGAGCTGGAAATAGATGCTAATTTTAAGTAGAGAGAGAGGTTGGGTTGCAATTAATTTTATGAGACGTCTGTTTATTATTGAAGGTTTTCCTTGCTGTGATTTCTGCCTCCCTAAGCAACCTGGAAACTATAGGATAATGAGGCTCCTCTTGTCTGTTGCAAATTCACCGCATGTTCACTAATTATTGGTATAGTTCCTTCTGCCAACCAGTGTGAGGTTTACCTGAAAATGAAGAAAGGAGTGTGTGTCACTCTCATATTGAGGAGCCTGTCTGCCCAGAGAGCATCAGTGAGAAAAGCCTATAGAAGCATCTCCACTCTGGCAGTCAGGAGACCCTAGGTCTTATTTGTCTTGATTTGCTGTGCAGTCCCAGGCGAGTCACTTAGCTTCTCTGAGCCTCAGTTTTATTATCTGTCAAATGAAGAGAATGCGGGGCAACAGTTTTAGATGTTTTAGAGTCAGATGGTCTTGAGTTTGAGTCTGGAACCTATCTGTACCACATGAGCAAATGAGCGCCCTCTTCTGAGCCTGTTTCCTCATCATTAAAATGGATTTTATTTATCAAACCATTACCAGATGTCAGGTATCATTCCGAACACTTTATAAATATTGACTCATTTAATCTTCGTACAAATCCTATGAGATAGATGCTATTGTCAGCTTCCTTTTAGAGATAGGGAAATGGCATAGAGAGGTTAGGAAATTAGCTCGATGTTACAGAGCTGGAAATTGGTAGAGCTAGGATTTGAACCCAGGCAGTCGGACTCCAGATTCTTTGCTTTTAGCTCCTTCCTCCTTCCATCATGCTCCTCCACCTCACAAGGTTGTGATGTGAGAATAAAATGAAATAATGAATGTAAGGTCCCTAGCATGTGCCTGGAAAGTTGTAAATGTCAGTAAGTGGAGACTGCAATGGTTATGGTTATGCCTATTAGTGGAATGAGCTGCCCAGGATGCCCCAAAACAAAAGCAAATACAATTCCAGACTGCATGAACAGAAGACTCAGAAAAAGCCTCTCTTTATGGTGTGTGGGTATGTGTGGAAATGGTGACCCAGAGACTGTGGCCAAGATGGTGTAAATATGGAACCCATCAGTGAAAAATCTGGGATTGGAAGCCAACCATCATATTTTCCTGAAAACCAGTATATCCAGAAATGTTGATCAGCAGCCAGCTAACCAAGGAGAGTGTGTGTTAGAGAAGAGAGAAAGAAAGAGCTCCCCGAATGAATATGGGCTTCACTGAGTGAATGTGTGACGTCAGGGTGTGGGACACCCCCAGGGGAGCGTAACATTTGAAAGAACACAGTTTGATGGAGTTGATAAGGTCTGCATCAGCAGCCTGTTGCTATTAAAATGAACCCTGATTTTGTTCAGATTTATTCTGTAAAAGGCCAGAGTCAGGCTCTTGAGGGTCACACTGGGGTGGGGTGCAGATTGGCAGGGACCAAAGGGGACCTTAGTCCTTCCCTGAACCAAGATGACTGAGGCCAGTGAGGCTGAGGAGGGGGCTGTAGGAGACTCAGAGCACCGGCCTTGGGCAGGCAGGGACTTGGGGCATGAGGAAGGCCCCAGCAGAGCACAGCTCCCTAGGGTGTGTCCCAAGTGCCCAGCTCCGCAGTGGGCAGTGAGCATGAGGAGAAGGGGCCTTGCACTGGGGCCTAACAAAGGTGGGTTCAAATCCCACATCTGTCCTTTATCAGTGGTGTGCCCTTGGGCAGGTCACTTGACCTCTCAAAGCCTCTGTATCAGGCCATTCTTGCATTGCTATTAAGGGATATCTGAGACTGGGTAATTTATAAAGAAAAAGAGGTTTAATCGGCTCATGGTTCTGCAGGCTTTACAGGAAGCATGGTACTGACGTCTGCTTGGCTTCTGGGGAGGCCTCAGGAGGCTTACAATCATAGCAGAAGGCAAAGGGGGAGCAGGCATATCATGTGGCGAAAGCAGGAGTGAGAGAAAGTGGGGAGGAGGTGCCACCCAGTTTTAAACAACCAGGTCTCATGAGAATGTACTCACTATCATAAGGATAGCACCAAGGCGATGGTGTTAAACTACCCATGAGAAATCCACCCCCATGATCCAATCACCTCCCAACAGGCCCCACCTCCAACACTGGGGATTACATTTCAACATGAGATTTGGGTGGAGACATACATTCAAACTATATCAGCCTCAGTTTATTCATCTGCGAAATGGGGAGAGTCTGACATACCTGTCTCAAAGGACAGGCAAGGCAAGGCCACGCACACTAAGTGCTAAGCACAGTAACTCAGGGAAGGCCACCATCATCATTATCATCTTCTTGCTTATCTCCCCCTTGCCTTCTTCCACCTTATTATCATAAAAAAGGACTCTTCTTGCCTGGGTGAGAAGACAGTTGCCTTCTGTGTGACTTTGGGCTAATTACTTAACCTCTCTGTGCCTCAGCTTCCCTATCTCTAAAATAAAGATGTTAATAGCACCTACCTCATAGGATTTATATGAGGATTAAATGGGTTAACATTTACAAAGTGTTTGGGACAGCACCTGACATCTGGTAATGGTTTGATAAATAAAATCTCATTGCCTGAGGCTCTTGTGTAGGTAACTCCAGGAACCAAACAGAATATGCAACAAACTCCCAAATGCAGAATTTATAAAGGGGCTCCTCAGTCATGTTAAGAATACATAAAGGGGTTGGAGTGTGGAGAGGAGCAATGTTTGGCAAAGAGATTGCCCTGGAGAGAACTGTTGTCAGGTGATGTGTTGCTTCCCTTTGGGAGATGGATGGGGGTGTGATATTCCTTGCCTCAATCCAGCTGGCTTCCCAAGGACCCCTTGGAAAGCTTTCCATCTAGCTGGGAGACACAGAGATTCTGAGGTCTGCCTTACACCCAAGAAAGCTGAAGTGGCCTGTAGTTGCCTGATGGGGGCAGGATGGGCTTCATTTGGGAGGCATTTCCTCTGGTCCAGATGTGAATCACATGGGTGACAATTCTGGCATGGGGTCATCTTGGGGGCTTGTCTCACAGGGCCCTCTGGCAGCAAAGAGATGCTCACAAGAAGCTGGGTGTGGTACAGAAATCTAGATGAGGCAGGAGTTAGACGGGACCATGTAGAGGAGAGATGTAGAGGCCCTGGGAAAGGGACTTACAGAGGTTCCCAGGCCTGGGATTGCTGTAGAATCCATAAACACACCCTCTCCCCCAATCCTCAAGAGAAAGCGCCACTTCTAGCCATCTGCCAGACCTCAGTGTGGTAAACTGAGTCACTGGCCCCCATTTCACTGCTTCCTGGATCCATGCTTTGCCATGGGATGTTGTAGTTCCTCCCACTAAAGACGATGGTTACTTCCCAAGTCCTTGAGTTTGCTCAGCCATGTGACTTGCATGGCCAGTGGAATGTGAGAAGTGACGGCACGTCAGTGCTGGGCTGAGGCCTTAAATGGCTTCATGTGTCTCTGTTTACTCGCTTGTGCTTCTGCCATCTCCAAAGCCCATTCAGCCTGGGCTCCAGAAGACACGCACAGAACAGCCTTAAATGCAACTGGCAGGAAGGAGTTGAGCTCAGGAGAACCCACAGCATATACAGAGGTGCCCAGCTGAGCCCAGCCTGGATCAACCAACCCATGCTCACATGAGCATCAATCACTTCACAGTTGTTTTAAGCTACTGAGAGTTTTGGGGTAGTTTGTTATGTAGCAATCACTAACCAATACACTTGGAAGGAGTAAATCTCTTCTCTCAAGAAAGAACTGCTCTAGTCCTCCCATGGAATGATTCTGCTGCTTCCCAGAGGAACAGAGAGAGCAGAAGGCAACCACAACCCCATCCCTGGAGGCAGGCTGCTAACTTCCAGTCTTAACTGGGAGAGACGTCTGCCCTTTGACCACAGAATGAAGGGTTGATAAAATATCAAGGACTGAACATTCAAATTCCTGAATGAAGGATGTGTTTGTAACTTGAAGGGACAGAGGACTACCTATTAGCTGAGTTAGCAGAAAAATCATGAGACCTTCCTGCAAACACTAAAGATCCTGGCACTAGGCTTAATACGTCACTTTATGCAGTGATCCTGAGTTCAGTGGGTTTGCCTGTGGTCAGCACAAACCCAAACCAGGAGAGGGACAGGCATCCACAGTTCTGAGGCTGTCCCTTCAGGCATGCTACAGTCTTTGGTCTTCAAGTCATAGGATTCAGTTCAGTAAATGCAAAGGTGTCTGTAATTATGGACAAGCTACAAGTATGCTGGATTCTATTTCCAGCATCCTTGCTCCCAAACATAGATGGTTGCTGTGAACTGTGACGTGACCTCCAACAACTTCTCCCTACATTAGCACAGCGGAAAAAAAAATCAGAAAATCTGGTCATTCTTGCTTGATATAAGTGAAAAAGACACTTATATTGCATCTGAGTCATGCTGCAGCTTGGGGGTCTGTTTGTTACAGCAGCTAATGTTATCCTAACTAATTCATCAAACCAAGATCATAGTAGTCCTGCTGCAATCATGCATGTTCTATAGAGTAAGGTTGATTTTAGTACAAAGCTGTCATGTGGGAGACTGGAGGCCTCGCCATTTGTGGGAGAGAACAAAGATGGTGAATAGAAGTCTCCTATGGCCAAACACAAGATCTTTAATTTCATAGGATTCTGGGAGTCACATGGCTGAGAATAGGGAGGGAGGCACTTCTTAAATCCACCGAAGATCCTATGCTCTGAATGACGTGTGACCAGAGAATTAGAATCAATGCTAATTTCAGGTATACAGTGATGTTGTGGGAAGTCAGGGACCCCGAACGGAGGGACCTACTGAAGCCATGACAGAAGAACATAAATTGTGAAGATTTCATGGACATTTATCACTTCCTCAATCAATACTCTCATAATTTCCTATGTCTGTCTTTAATCTCTTAATCCTGTCATCTTCATAAGCTGAGGATGTATGTTGCCTCAGGACCCTGTGATGATTGCGTTAACTGCACAAATTGTTCGTAAAGCATGTGTGTTTGAACAATATGAAATCTGGGCACCTTGAAAGAAGAACAGGATAATAGCGATGTTCAGGGAACAAGGGAGATAACCATTAGGTCTGACTGCCTGGGAGCCAGGCAAGACAGAGCCATATTTCTCTTATTACCAAAAACAGGTAAGAGAAATATCCCTGAATTCTTTCCCCAGTAAGGAATATTAATAATTAACAGCCCTGGGAAAAGAATGCATTCCCGGGGGGCCTCTAAAATGGCCGCTCTGGGGGTGTCTGCCTTATCCAGTTGCAGATAAGGGATGAAACACGCCCTGGTCTCCTGCAGCACCCCCAGGCTTGCTAGGATTAGGAAATTCCAGCCTGGCGAATTCTAGTCAGACTGGTTCTCTGCTCTTGAACACTGTTAAGATGTTTATCAATGACAATGCATGCACAGTGGAACATGAAACTTCCTTAGTAATTCTAGTTTTGCCCTGACCTTGTGATCTCACCCTGACCTTCTGCCTTGTGATCTTTTGTCGCCCTTGAATCATGTGTTCTCTGTGACCCACACCCTATATGTACATTTCCTCCCTTTGAAGATTGCTAATAAAAACTTGCTGGTTTTATGGCTCAGGGGGCACCACAGAACCTGCCGACATGTGATGTCTGCCCTGGACACCCAGCTTTAAAATTTATCTCTTTTGTACTCTTTCCCTTTATTTCTCAGACCAGCCGACACTTGGGGAAAATAGAAAAGAACCTACATTGAAATATCGGGGGCTGGTTTCCCCCGATACAGTATGATATTCAAGCATCATGTCGTACTCCTCAAATACATGCATTTTTTTATTAACATAAAATTTTAGGCCAGGTGCAGTTGTTCATGCCTCTGTAATTGCAGCATGCTGGGAGGTGGAGGCAGAAGGAATGCTTGAGGCCAGGAGTTCAAGACCAGCCTGGGCACAATAGTGAGACCTGGCCATTACCCCCCACAGGCTCCTGCCATCAGATTTATTGGCCCTCTAATAAATTATTATATCATTTATTGGATAATTATAAGATAAATAGAACTGTATTGATTGGACCTCTCATAAATAGTGCCTGTTATCTCATCAGACAATTGTCCCTGAGGAGTCTCTTGCTCATCTTTGCATCCCCAGCACTTAGCTCAGAACATGGCCCAGGGCAGACCTTTGATAAATATTTTTGAATAATCATCATAATAAGCTCTAACTTCCTTTAGGATAAGCTATATGTGAGGTACTGCCATAAATCCATCATCCATTAGCTCCTTCAGTCCTCTCTGTAACACTAAGAGCCACAATTGCACCCAAATTTATTTATGTATTTATTTATTTACTTATTTCTGAGACAGGGTCGCATTCTGTTGCCCAGGCTGGAGTGCAGCGGCTTGATCATGGCTCACTGCAGCCTTGACTTCGTGGGCTCAAGGAATTCTTCCTCCTCAGCCTCCTGAGTAGCTGGGACTACAGGCATGAGCCACCACACCTGGCTAATTTTTTTATTTTTATAGAGACAGGGTCTCACTATGTTACCCAGGCTGGTCTTGAACTCCTGGGCTCAAGCAATCCTCCTGCCTTGGCCTCCCAAAGCATGCACACCTATTTGACAGAGGAGAGCCTGTTTCACCAAGGAGTTAGGTAAGTGACTTGATGTCTCATAAGATTCAGAAGCAGGATTTGAGCCCAGGCAGTGTGACTCCAGAGCCCTGGGTTTGATCTGCCTGAAGGGAAGTTTGGGGAGGGGCAATACTGGCCTGCGGTTGGCTGGGAGAGGGGCCCTGGCACCTCACAGACAGGCGTGAGGGGTGTGCAAGGAGGGGATTTGTATGAGGAAAAGGGGGAGGGTGTGGGAGAGTTCACGCAGGGCCTCAAAGACAGCAGTACACCAAAATTCACCCCCTCGTTGAGCTGGGAGACCTAACATGAAGCTGAGCGTGCAGAGTTCACCCATCAACCCTGGATCTCAAACTTGACATTGAACGTTTCCTCATTTTGAACACTTCCAGCTGTGCCCTAATTTCTTCTGTGAACTTCACTCTCATTTCTGTTGGCTAAACATTAACTCTTTTTAGTTTTGTTTTCTCGGCAGGGAGGAGCTGAGGAAATTTATCTCTGAGGGCTCAGAAATTTCCAGCTCAGGTGCTTCAATGTTATACCATAGTTTCCCTCGTCCTTACACACTTGGTCCTCTGTTTCCAAATCTTGTGAATTTGTCCTTGAACCAGCAGCTCCAAACAACAGCACCCCAGAGCTTTCTGTAGCCTGTGCCTGCCAACTTTGCGTAAACTATCAGATCTTAGCTGTGAGAAATACTTCCCAAAAGTTTTTTTTTTCTGTGCAAGAAAAGTGTCTTTATTATTTCCCGTGGCCACAGAAAATTTAGAAAAGTATAAAGATCACCTATAATGCTATAGCCAAATATCACCACTGAAAATGTTTAAGTCTCCCATGAAGCAACCATTGCAAAATGAAATTAAAGAAAGCATGCCAAGTACGATAGTACTGAAACAAATACTTGGGAATACATATGACAAAAACCATGAAAGACCTCTGCAGGGAAAATGATAAAACATTGTCACTGTCACTAAAGAGGACAAAAATTAATGAAAAGAAACTCCAAGTTCATGGATCAGAATCATCAAATTCTATATAGATATATATATAAAATATAGATGTTATTCTTCCCAAGCTAATATGTGTAATTCTAATCAAATGCCTCCCCATATTTTGGGAGGAGCTTCACAAATTGAGTATAAAATTAATGTAGAAATAAAAAGGGCCAAGAGGAACCAATGACTTGATAAAAAGAGAACAGAGTTCTCCCAAAGATACTAAGAATTATAAGGTTATAGTAATTAAGACAAGGTTGTGTTAACTCAAGGACACAAAAAATAGACCAATGGAAAAGAGCAGAGTCCAGAAACAGACTCCCACATAGATGGGCTCTGGGAATATTTAAGAGGTGGCTTTGCAAAGAAGTGGAGAGAACATGATCCGTTCAATAAATGCTGCTGGGATAATTGAGCATCCACATTGGAAGAACTGGAACTGAACCCCTTCCTCACATGCCATATAAAAATAAATGCCTTTTGTTGTCTGTGCTTTTGGTGTCACATCCCTGAAATCACTGGAAAGACCAATGTCATGAAGTTTTCCCCTAAGTTTTCTTCTAGTAGTTTCAGTTTCAGGTCTTACGTTTAAGTCTTTAATCCATTTTGAGTTGATTTTTGTGTATGCTGTAAGGTAAGGGTCCAATTTTATTCTTTTGCATGTGGACATTCAGCTTTCCAAACACCATTTGTTGAAGACACTGTCCTTTCCCCATTGTGTATTCTTGGCAATCTTGTCAAAGATCAGGTGGCCACGTATGCAAAGCACAGGCAACAAAAGCAAAAATAGGCAACTTGGACTACATCAGACTAAAAAGCTTCTGCATAGCAAAGGAAACAATCAACGGGCTGAAAAGACAATCTATGGAATGAAGAAAACATTCACAAACCATACATCTAATAAGGGTTAATCTCCACAATATGTAAGGAACTCCTACCACTCACTAGCAAAAAAATTAATAACTTGATTTAAAAATGGGCTAAGGATAGGAATAGATCTTTCTCCAAAGAAGACACACAAATGGATAACAGGTCTATGAAAATATACTCAATATCACTAATTATCAGAGAAGTGCAAATCAAAATCACGATGCAATATCACCTTACTCCTGGTAGGATGGCTATCATTTTTTAAAGAATGAACAAAAGATAACAAGTGTGAGGATGTGGAGGGATGGGAACTCTTGCACACTGTTGGTGAGCCACTGTGAAAAACAGTATGGAGGTTCCTCAAAAAATTAAAAATGGAACTACGATATGTTCCAGCAATCCCACTTCTGAGTATCCAAAAGAATTGAAATCAGGATATCAAAGAGATAACTGCATTCCCATGTTTACTGCAGCACTATTCACAATAATCAAGTGGAAACAACCAAAGCAACTATAAATGGATAAATTCGTTAAAGAAAATTAATGTATACAGTGCACACAGTTAATGTATACAGTGCACACATTTAATGTATACAGTGCACATACAGCCTTTAAAAATAAGAAAATGTGTGTGGGAATGGTAGCTGTGATCCCAGCACTTTGAGTGGCCAAGGAGGAAAGATTGTTTGAGGCCAGGAGTTCAAGACCAGCCTGGACAACACAGCAAGACCCCATCTCTACAAAAAAATTTAAAAATTAGCCAGGCATGTTGGCACACAACTGAAGTCCCATTTACTTGTGAAGCCGAGGTTTTCCCTGACTCCTAGGATGGCTCCTAGAAATGCAGAAAAGTATGAAATTCCAGAATTGCTGTGGAGCTGATGGAAGAAGGTATTAAGAGGCCAAGGGAAATGGGCACAGTGAAGAGGAGTGGATATGTTTACTATGTAAGTCTGGAAATAGAGTCCCAGGGGACAAAACATTCCCCGAGGCCATAAGGAATGTGTGGAGAGAGGGACACCTGCATCATGAGGTGTTCTGGTGGTGGCCTCCTGGGAAGAGGGGCTGTTACAGAGCTTGGATTGATAAGGGCAATAGGGCAGGCAGGACTCCCAGAGCAATAGAAGCCAGGTGGGTGCAATGACTATAATGAATGGTGAGGTTGGAGGGGCAGCCAGGGGTCGTGACTGATACAGGGTTAGGGACCTGGTTAACACAATGTGGCCTCTTAGTGACTTAGTGGATGAGTATCTTGAAAGGGCACTACTCAATTTATACCATTAGAAGAAATCAAGGCCGGACGACCAGGGGGTTAAGGGGAGCCATTCCAATAAAAAGTCATCATCCCTTCCTGATTTTTGGAACTGACCAACCCAGTTTTCAGACTAGACCCCATTAACAAAGAGGAGGCAGAGTCCCCTTGGGAAAGGATGCTGTGACACCATAGCATATATAGTAATGGTTTCCCCCAAAGGACCTATGGCCATTTATTCAGAGGATGATACACTGGAAAAGGGGAGTCACTCAACATTTCTAAGACTGTTGGGCAGAGGATCAACACTGATAACGAAAAGCGTCATCAGATTCTGTCCCCATCAGAGTAGGGGCATATAGGAGCCAAGAGTGAAAAATGGAGCCCTGGCCAAGTCAGGCTTGTCATTTGCCCACTGTGTCTATGGACCGACCTGGTGATCATTTCCCTGTCCCCTGAATGTATATTCAAAAAGGACATGCTTGGTAAAAGACACTACCCGACATTGGCCTGAGGGTTAAGTGAGGGCTATCACAGTGAGGAAGGTCATGGGGATACCTTTGAAACTGCCACCTCCCTGGCCAGGATAGTAAATTAAAACCACTATTACATCTCAGAGCCAGGGAAGTACAGAAATTAGCACCCTTTTATTAAGTCCTAAAGGGCTCTGCAGCTGGTATAGGCTGTGGTGCAAGTCGCCCCTCTACTTGGCCCACACCAGCCTGGCAGACCCCATGGTGTTCAAAGTGTTAGTCATGGGAAAAGGTGTCATTCAGAGATTATGGCAATATCTATTTAGAGAATTATAACACAGACCCCTCCAGGACTCTGGAGTAAGCCCATGTCATTTGCAGCAAAAATGTCTATGCCCTTTGAAAAACAATCCCGGTATACTCCTGGGTCCTGTTGTAGATGGAAGGCTGATCACGTGGCCATGTGGCTCTTCGATCAAGCAACTAATTACTGATTCCATTAATCTACTGTTGGTTGTGGCATTGCTATAAAATGAAACACTCTCAAAAGGCAACACAAGTGCATTTTCCACACAGTAAAATACAATGAAGCCATTACATTGGGATGTCCACACTTGCCTATCAGCATGGAGTGTGTGATGATTGATTTTATGTGACAAGTTGACTGGGCTAAGGGTGCCAAGATAGCTGGTGAAACATCATTTCTAGGTGTATCTGTGAGGGTTTTTCTGAAAGAGATTCACATTTGAATCAGTAGACTGGCATCATCTAATCCAGTCTACAAATAGGACAAAAAGACCGAGGAAGGGTGAATCTGTGCTCAGGTTGAGCTGGGACATTCATCTTTCCCTGCCCCTGGACATTGATGCTTCTGGTTCTCATGGCGCCAGAGTAGGAAAACATAAGCTTTCAATGAATGAGGACACATTAAGACCATGCTACAGTGATTAAGAACATGAGCTTTAGAGAGAGAAGGATTAGGGTTCAAGTTCAGACTCTGCCCCTGACCAGCTGGGTGACCCTGGGCAAGCACTGTAACCTCTTAGAACCTCAAGTTATTCCACTTAATATTATGAGAATAACAACAAAACCCATCTCACAGGGATGTGGGGGGACTAAATGGAAGAATATAATCTGGACGGACCAAAGGCTGCTTACCAGCCACCAAAAGTGACCAGCAACTCAGGTGATCAGAGCATGCTAGGTTCTTTTGTGAGTATTTATGAGAGTTTTATATTTTAGAGTCTTATGAATGATATGTTGATTCTTGGTCCCAAGGACAGTGTGACAATGTGGCAATGTAAGTCAGTATAGTCGAATCTTTAATCCAGTGATTTACCTTGGAGGACAGAGCTGTCCAATAGAAATACATAATATAACACAAGCCACATGTATGATTTCACATTTTCTAGTAGCCACAATTAAAAAGGGAAAAGAAAGAGATGAAGTTCATTTGATTTAACTCAAATATATTTAAAAATTGTCATTTCAGCACACAATTAAAAAAATTATCAGTTGGCAAGAACTTGGCATTCTTTTCATTTGTACTAAGTCTTTGAAACCAAGTATATACCTTGCACTCACAGCACATGTAGATTTAGACTAGCTACATTTTAAGCATTTGATACATGTGGCTAGTGGCTGCTGTGTCACACAGGGAGGTTCTATAATTTTTCTCAGAGATATGGAGAAAGGATAAATCAAGGATGCTTATTTCAGAATTATTAGTAATAGGAAAACCATCTAACATTAAGATGTTTTGCACAAATGTCAACTCCATGAGGACAGGGATTTTTTTATTTAAAAAATTCTGGAAGTCTTGGCTCTGCAGGGTCATGAGGACAGGGATTTCTGTCTGCTTTTGTGCATTGCTATATTCCCAGTGCCCAGAGCTATGCTTGGCACATAGTAAGTGCTCAATAAATATTTCTTGTTGAATCAATGTATATACACACACAATACCCCTAGATATGCATCTGTACTTCTTGGCTCTGTGCCTTGAAGTTAATAAACACCCAATAAATGGTATTTGCTTTATTTTTATTGTTATTGATAATACATTAGACATTACCCTCCCATCAGGTGCACAGAAGAAAGTCAAGGCTGGAATTTCATTCTCTTATCTAAATCTCTCTGTTCTCTCTCAGGGAATATTTTCAGAGAATAGGTGGAATGAAGTGAGGCTGTGGAGAATGTTATCTATGATAGGATAGAGGGCATAGAAGGCCAGGAGTCAGGAGACCTGGGTTCTGTCCTGGATTATACACCAGCTCACTGAGGAGCTTTGTCCTCTCTGGATCAAGAGTCCCACCTGAAAATGAAGGAACTGGTCCAGATAACACTGGAGCCCTTTCCCCCAAGATGCACTGGCATTCAGAGGATGGTGCAGGTCCAGTCCTCTTCTGCCTGTGGGGTGGATGCTGCCTGGAGTGTGCTGGGTCTATGAGAGAAATGAGGGTACTCATGTGTTCCAATGTAACCATATTTCTGATACCTCCTGGGATCGTCGGTCTCATCGTCTGCACTGTTGCTTTCAGCCTGAAAGGGTGAGACACATGATCACATCAGGGAGTCTTCCTGCATTGCAGCTGGATTCAGTGAGCATTTACGGTAGACACTGTGACATGCCATCTGGATCCCCCTTTGAGGAAGGACTAACAAGCCCCAGCTGCTGGGACAGTGGTCAGCAGACAGACTTCAGCCGTCAGCCCTTTTAGGGGTTGCCTCAGCTGCAGAGAGCCTTTTGCTCAAAGCCATGCCCTTTCCCAAGGTGCCCAAGCACAGTGAGTGATCCACGTAGGGGTATAGAAGCCTGGCCACCTCTGTCACCATGGGGCAGCTCTAAAGGCCATTCCAGCTCCAGGGCTGTCCTTGGAGTTGGCTGAAACTGGCATTCGCTCTGCATCCCTGTTCACTTCTCCCTATTCTCTTTCATGCTTCCTTCCTATCCTTTCTTCCCCCCTTTCCCTGAGTGCTGGTTCCAGTGGCTCTCCCCCAGAACATCCTGCATACTAAATTCCATCCTGGAGTCTGCTTCCTAGCCATCTGCAACATCATCAATCCCCTGGAATCAGACAGATTCCTGCTTGGAGGTGGAAAGATCCAAGACTGGGTCCTTTGCCCCTGTTTAGCTGTGTGACAACCCAAGTCACTCAGCTGCTCAGAGTCTCCCATTGGTCAGATGAGAGGTGGGGATGTGACAAGGCAGGCTGTTTAGCACAGTGACATGAGCACTGGCTTTAGAGTCCACTGAGCTTGAATTCCATTTCCACCACTTGTTAGCTGATGTCCTTGAGCAAGTGACCTCACCTCTCTGAGCCTTTGTCTCATCTGTAAGATGGGAATGATAGAAAACATGCCTCATGGGACTTTTCAAATAACTAAAAGTAGAATGTCCATTCAACCCAGCAATCCCACTACTCGGTATCTACCCAAAGGTAAAGAAATCATTCTATCAAAAGACACCGGCACTCGTATGTTTATCGCAGTACGATTCACAATAGCAAAGTCATGGAATCAACTTAAGTGCCCATCAGTGTGAACTGGATAAAGAAAGTGTGGTATATCTACACCATGGAGTATTATGCAGCCATAAGAAAGAATGAAATCATGGTTGCAGCTGGAGGCCATTATCCGAAGTGAATTAACCCAGAAACAGAAAATCAAATACTTAACATCTGCTAAAGATGGGAACAATAGACACTAGGGACTCCAACAGGGAGGAGGAAGGGAGAAAGGCAAAGGTTGAAAAAATTCTTTTTGGGTACTCTGTTCACTATTTGGGCGACAGGATCAATAGAGGCCCAAACCCCACCATTACACAATATAGCTGTGTAACAAATGGCACATGTGCCCTCTGAATCTAAAATAATAAAAAATTTTTAAAAATGCCTCATGGGATTGTTGTGACTATTTAATGAGAGAGTGCATATTAAAGGGCTTAGGACAGAACCTGAGCCCGAAGCAGACAGTCAATAAATGGTGTTAGAGATTATTTATTATTACTCTTAGGGGAATGAATTCTGGACAAGGGATGTGAAAATTCCAGAAACCCTCGATTGTGACCAAAATGACTGTAAAATATGGAGCACAGCCTGTCACTATATGAATATAAATGGCCTTTGGCAAGAGGTAAGTTCTTTGGAAAGAATGGTCTCCAGCTATATGTCTCAAGCTTCATGGAGAGGGGCAGGGATGAATGGCAGGGAGGAAGCAGGAGGTCTCACCAGCAGAATCCAGGAGCTCACTGGGGACCCATCCCAATTCTTAAAGCATGGGTAATTCAGCCAGGCCTCAGCCTCTTGTGCCAGCTGCCTCCAACCCTTTGGGTCTCCACCACCCAAGTTTCCTGTAGGGTCCGCCGGGTCCAGGATCACAGGCCTGCAGAGCAGCATTTAGAGAGGGACAGGTGAGAAGCTGGGGCTCTGTCTAGGGAGTCCAGATGCTCCTGGGAGAGCAAAATAGCAGCATGGGATGAACTGGGACTCAGAACATGAGGAAGGGCTCCCTGGGGTATGTCCCCAGTGCCCTATTCCCCAGCAGGCAGTGAGCATGAGGAGAAGGAGCCTTGCACTTGCACCTGACAGATGTGGGTTTGAATCCCACCTCTGCCCTTTATCAGTGATGTGCCCTTGGGTAGGTCACTTGAACTCTCTAAGCCTCAGGATTCTTATCTGTAAAATGGGAATAGTTCCACATACCTATCTCAAAGGCTATGCTGTGAGGATAGAAAAAGCCCAGTTATATGAAATGCTCAGCACAGCGACTAGAACATAACATACATATCAGTAATATTGCTAATAATTTTTACTATTATATTAGCATGTGTTAGTCTTACAACAAGCTTTCAATACCTGGGAGCAATTACTATCATTGTTGTTGCTGCTGTTCTTATTTCAGTTCAAACTGCAGCTATTTTACTCATTTTCTGTTAAGGGTTGGACAAGCTCCTTACCTCTCAGAACCTCAGTTTACTCACCTGTAAAATAATTGGCATAGTGCCTGCCTCACAGGGTTGGAGGTAGGTGTTTAAAACAGATGGCAGTAGTAAAATGCCCAGTACAATGATGGGCAACAGGAGATTCTCACTAAGTGGGGAGCCCTCCCACCTCCTCCATTTCCAAGGCACTGTACCTGTATCCAGGTGTTCATTTACATAGGGGAGCTAAGCCATGTGGGGATAGCATACCTGGGTTTCGTGAGCTGCCTTCTCAGGTACTTTTCAATAATGGGGTTTTTAAAGTCATAATACTTTGTCCAGTAGATGCAGAGTTGCTGGTAGTTTATGACTAATTCCAAGACCGTCCGAAATCCCTGGGCTGTGTTGAAATGTGTTTTCATGCTCCCTCGCTCCCAAGCATAGACCGTCAGGAGCTCCAGGGCATACTGAGGTGGCAGCTTCCCAAGCTTCTTCTTACACTGAGAAGAGGAAAAACAATCAGAAAAAAATTGGTTTGCTCAACTTTTGTGTAAACTACACTTCTCATGGGCCAAATCCAGCCTGCCACCTGTTTTTATAAAGTTTCCTTGGAACGAATCCAGGCTCATTCATTTATGTATAGTTTATGACTGCATTCATGCTACAAAGGCAGGGTTGAGTAGTTGCAACAGAGGCTGTGCAGTCCACAAAGTCTAAAATATTTACTATCTAGCCTTTTATTTTTTAAAAAAGTGTACTGGCCCCTTGTTAAGAGCGCTGGATTCTTATTGATGTGGGTTTGAATCCTGGCTTCACCATTGTCCAATTCTAAGTAGATGACTTAGACTCTCAGAGCCTCATGATTTTCATCTGCTAAGTGAGTGGTTGTAATAGCACCTATCTGATAAAGATACTACGAAAATTAACTGAGAAGAAGGACTTGTAATGTTCCTAAGAAATGCACAGAAGCAAATGAAATTCTTTCTGGAGGAATATACATAATCCAAAACCTCAAATTATTTCACACATAATTTTCAAATACAATGACCAGCACATATGTAACCAGGCACACAAGGAAACAAAACACTAAGAGTTATGACCAACAGAAAGAAGAGAAATAGTAATAAACCTACAAACTTTAAATGCTGAAAGACCGAACACAGACTTTAAAATAACTAGGAACTCTACAAGGAAAACTACAAAACATTGCTGAAAGAAAATCATAGATGACACAAACAAATGGAAACACATCCCATGCTCATGAATGGGTAGAATCAATATTGTGAAAATGACCATACTCCCAAAAACAATCTACAAATTCAATGCAATTCCCATCAAAATACCACCATCATTCTTCACAGAACTAGAAAAAACAATCCTAAAATTCATATGGCACCAAAAAAGAGCTCACATAGCCAAAGCAAGACTAAGTAAAAAGAACAAATCTGGAGGCATTACATTATCAGACTTCAAACTATACTGTAAGGCCATAGTCACCAAAACAACATGGTACTGGTATAAAAATAGTCACGTAGACAAATGGAACAGAATAGATAACCCAGAAATAAAGCCAAACACTTACAGCCAACTGATCTTTGACAAACCAAACAAAAACATAAAATGGGGAAAGGACACCCTATTCAACAAATGGTCCTAGGATAATTGGCAAGTTGCATGTAGAAGAATGAAACTGAATCCTTCTCTCTCCCCTTATACAAAATTCAACTCAAAATCGATCAAATACTTAAATCTAAGACCTGAAACCATAAAGATTCTAGAAGATAATATTGGAAAAACCCTCCTACACATTGGCTTAGGCAAAGACTTCATGACCAAGAACCCAAAAGCAAATGCAACAAAAACAAAGATAAATAGATGGGACTTAATTAAACTAAAAAGCTTCTGCAAAGCAAAAGAAATAATTAGCAGAGTTAACAGACAACCCACAGAATGGGAGAAAATCTTCACAATCTATACATCCAACTAATATCCAGAATCTACAAAGAACTCAAACGAATCAGCAAGAAAAAAAAAATCTCATCAAAAAGTGGGCTAAGGACATGAACAGAGAATTCTCAAATGAAGATATACAAATACCAACAAGCGGGGTGGGGGGAATTGGGGAGGGATAGCATTAGGAGATATACCTAATGCTAAATGACGGGTTAATGGGTGCAGCACACCAGCATGGCACATGTATACATATGTAACTAACCTGCACATTGTGCACATGTACCCTAAAACTTAAAGTATAATAATGAAAAAAAAAAAAAAAAAACAAATACCAACAAGCATATGGAAAAATGCTCAACATCCCTAATTATCAGGGAAATGC